>NC_000013.11:77499015-77650530 GCF_000001405.40 Homo sapiens
CCCGTCTGCAAACAGAGAAAGAAAATCCATCTCATAGATTATAAAATATCAGTTCTTGTTATAAATATATTACTTTACAAGAAGTAGCTTCCCTGGACAGTATCTTTACTGTGTTGGCATGAGAAATCAGAAACTGAGTATGTCATGATTATAATAGATAAAAAGCCTTGTTTTTTCTTTTTTGGAGATGGGGTCTGTCTGTGTTGCCTAGAGTGATCTTGAACTCTTAGGGATTACAGGCATGTGGCACTTGGCCAGCTTAAAAAGCCTTTTTAATGTCTGTATTTGCCAGATTCAAAAGGCTTTCTCTATATACAGAGAAAAAATAATCAATGGTAGAATGAAAATGACAATGAAGTATAAATGGTAATAAGAACAGCAGTTCAGTACTAAGCTGGAAATAATAAAATTCCAGCAATTTCTTAAAATCAGGGACTTAGGCTTCATAAAAGGGCAAATGAAATCCATTTGAAAGTTTGAATATATTAGGCTCAGGTAGAGCAGAACTTATTCATCTCAATTTTTTAAAATGTCAAAATTAACTTATTTTCTAATGTCCATATTGTATATTAATAGCTCAAGGATAGTTACACATAGGATTCTAATTGAAGGTCAGCTTGTACTACTTGGTTGACTACCTAAAGAGTGAGATTTTTTGAGGGATGCAGAACATCCTCTTCCCCCCAAATTCCTCCATTAGCCTGCTTAGCGCTGTATTATTGATCCTCCTTGAAAAGACAAATTTTAGCTAGGTTTAGGAGTTGTGTTTCTTGGCAGATGTTATCTGGTAACTAACGTCTGCCATTTTTATGTTGCAAATATTCCTAAGGGAGTGGGATATATCTGTAGAACAGACTCACTTTGAGCCAAACTGCCTGCATTTGAACTCTAGCTCCACAATTTACTAGTTCTGTGGCTCACATTCTTATCTTTGAAGCGGGGATAATAAGGGCACCTCATAGTCATGTATTTCATAGGGTCAAATGAGCTAATAGATAAAGACTGTGTCAGCTCCTATTATGTTAATGAGATGAGATGAAAGATCTGGAGAATGGAATCATATTGTGTGTGTGTGTGTGTGTGTGTGTGTGTGTGTGTGTGTGTGTGTGTAGGGGCAGCCAAGGGGACATCATAAAGACATTAGAGCTAAGAACTGTTGAGTGTGCTAGAAAATAATACAAAGAGGCTACCCAGAAGGGTGGTGGGTATCAATTGTTAATTTACTTTTTTCACATTTTTGCAGAGAATCATCTAACCAGTGATTAAAGCATCGTTACTCTGTCACTGTGGCTGCCAGAAAAAGATTAATGTAACCTTTCTCATTTTACGGTCCACGAACACTTTTCTTTTTCAGTAGGAGAGTTTCCTGGCTCCCTACCTACTTATTTTTCCCTTCAGTTCCACTCATTTATCACAACTCTTTGTACTAAGCAAGGAGTATCAAGATTGTTCAATGTCTATGTTATGTCTAGATAAGACAATTTGGTGACTGTGAAAAATATCTTAAAGAAATAATGGTGAAGGTAAATATGCTTCATTTTGAGAATGTTAGTGTTGCTGCTTAACTTGTGTGTTGCATTAAACAGAATGTTAAATGGCTGAAACTGATTAGCTAAAACCTGATTTTCCACAGATTCAGCCTCATTTCCATCATTTTGTACATCAACAGCCACTGTGACCACTTAGTTAGTCAATGAAGCAACCAATATGTTATTTTTTAATTGATTATGACCTCTGTGAAGATGATGGTTCAGTGAATTACTTAGAATGGGGTTTAGTTGCAACTGTCAATAAAACTCAAATGACAGCAGTTTAATCAAGAAAGAAGTTAATTTATCTCTCCCATTAATGCCTGGATATAGGCATTCCATGTGTTTAATGGCAGGCAGTTCTGTTTCTTGATGTGCTCAAGCACTCAGGCAAGCACCCAGGCTTCTGTCTGTCTTGTCGTTTCTCTATCTGTGGTCTCCATTCTTTTTTGAGACTGAGTCTCACTCTGTTGCCAGGCTGAAGTGCAGTGGCGGGATCTCGGCTCACTGCAACCTCCAGCTCCCTGGTTCAAGTGATTCTCCTGCCTCAGCCTCCCGAGTAGCTGGGCTTACAGACATGCCACCATGCCCAGCTAATTTTTGTATTTTTAGTAGAGACGGGGTTTCACCATGTTGGCCAGGATGATCTCGATCTCCTGACCTCGTGATCTGCCCGCCTCAGGCTCCCAAAGTGCTGGGACTACAGGCATGAGCCACTGCGCTCGGCCTGTGGTCTCCATTCTTTAAGTCAAGCCATCATATTCTCATGCCAGACCCTGGGAATAAGGAAAGGGAGACAAGGAAAGGGATGCATGCTCCCAGCATTGAAGGACACTTTTTGGTGCTTCAACCCAACACTACTGACATCTCAGTGGCCAGAACTTAGTCACAGGGCAATGCCTGTTGGTAAAGGAAACTGAGAACTGTCCTCTCTTCATTCTGTACAGCCATGTGGCCAGAAAGGAGGGAGACCAGACATTTGGGGACAAATAGAAGCCTTTGCTAGCTTGGGACTAGGTGACTATCAGTCAACCTGCAAGACAGATACAATGCAACACGCACTTGAATGTTCATCTAAGAATTTCACAGCCATCTCTAATTGCTCAGTTTCTTTAAATGCAGTATTAACGGTTACAAAAGGGGCTCATTTACTTCAATCAGTGCATTCAAAGTTCAAGTAAAGAAGATGTAATTTTAGTGATCTGCTCGACTTCCTAAGCTCCTATTTGTTAAATTCTCATAGTGCATTCCCCAGATGCAGGCCTGACTGGAGGATTAACTCCATTCTGAGCTGGAAGACATTTAAGCAAGTAAATTTAGGTCTAGTATTTGGAGGCTCAGAATCAGGTCACTTAGTGGTTTTCCATCTCAGATCCTTTACTTGATGCTAAACTTTGACCCTTTTTTAAAAAAGCAAAAAACCAAGCTCTTGCTTTGAGCTTCACTAAATAGGTTATTCAGTACCAAAGTTCTCATCATTTCTATGGGGTACAAGTGCCCTCATACTTTCTCTCAGGTCCTGTAACCGTCTGTCTCTGATGCCAGCCACATCTAGTTTTACATTCACCTGATTGTCCCGATACTGTCTCTGATGCTAAGACATCCATTTGCTACTCTCTGCTGAACCATTATGCTGTTCTGGGCTACTGGGCATTGCTTGGAGCTTTCTGAATTGCTTGTCCCACTGGGGTTTCTTTATCTTCTGGGTTTCCACTTCTCTATTTCAGCCCGTTTCAGAAAGCTTCAAATGATACAGCTATGTCTTCACAACACCTAATGGTCCAGGAGAAAATAAGAGGTTCTGTGATTCATTCTAAGTCCTATTTGCATGATATAAATAACAACCAAAAGAAACTATATACTCGTGTACTAGTCATTCTAGAGACACAGTCCAGGATGGAATAGTTGGCGGCAGGGGCACTCATCATGGCAGCTGCAGCTACAGATTAAATTTGGAGCTGATAGAGGCACAGAGTAAAGGGATTCCCCACAGGAACACACATGCACATGGTCAGAATTAATCATCATGTAAATTAAAGTCAGGAACACTTAGGATTATTGGTCATAAAGTCCATGATGGGTAGCATCACCTCCCACAGTAAGCCAGAAATGCCTTCTAGGCTTGGAAATATCTTATAAAACAGGACCACAAACTTGCTTTTTACAAACATGCAAAAGAAAATTTGAAAATTTGAATATTTGTACTCTTTTCTTTCAGAAAAGGAACTATCAGGGCACAGTGGCTAAGAACTCAGGCTTTGCATTCAGGGAACACTGACTTATCAGTTATGTTACCTTGGAAAAGCTGCTGTATCTCCTTAAACCTCTGTTTTCTCATCTTTATTTTTTTAAATTAATTATTATTATTATTATTGAGATAGAGTCTCACTCTGTCACCCAGGCTGGAGTGCAGTAGCGTTATCTTTGCTCACTGCAACCTCCGCCTCCCGGATTCAAGCGATTCTCCTGCCTCAGCCTCCCAAGTAGCTGGGATTATAGGCATGTGCCACCACGCCCAGCTGATTTTTATATTTTTAGTAGAGATGGGGTTTCACCATGTTGGCTAGGCTGGTCTGAAACTCCTGACTTCGTGATCCGCCTGCCTCAGCTTCCCAAAGTGCTGCGATTATAGCCATGAGCCACCGTGCCCAGCCAGCTTTCTCATCTTTAAAATGGGAAAAATAGTAGTAGTTATCGCCTAGGGTTATTTTGAGGAAAATAAAAAACAGTTTATTTAAACAGTATACAGCTTGATACACTGTATGCCCTTAATAAATGCTGCTTAAAGAATAATACTAATGTAACTACAACTGAATTGCTGTCTTTAAAAGGGGGCAGATGGGGAATCACAGATCAAATAAAAAATATAGTGGGTTCCTTCATAGTGGAACCCAAAATGAAATGGAAAAATCATGATTCTTAGCACATTCTATCATTACGCTGTAATAAATTCCATTACTGTGGTGTTTATATTCTAGTTTTTTGAATGGTGAGAATTTGAGGGAATAAGCCAGGTTAAAAAAAGGGAACCGAAAGAGAAGTATGCTGGAATATTTGCATAATTATCACTCCACCTAAACGCCAATGCTAATCTGCAAAATTTCACTTTAGGCCTGTTGTGATTAATTTGATTTCGGGGACAACTGGCTGTTGCCCTACCTGCTTCAAGCTGGTAAAACCTGAAAAGCTTCAGGTCCCAAACGTTCATTTGGCAAAGGAGAGGGATGTAGTTCTTACCTGATATTTCAAACAAGAATCAGGTAAGGCTTTGTCACAGATTGGTCTGTGGACCAGTTGATTGGCACCATCCAGGAGCTGTAAGAAATGCAGAATCTTGCCCTTTGCCCCTGCTACCCCTGCCAATTTTAGCTTAATTAGAATCTGCTTTATGAAAAGATCCTCAAAAAGCATTGAGGTAACACATATTTGACATCATGTATTTCATTTGCATTTTAGATGTGGCTATGTCAGGGTAATGATCTCACTATCTGTTCCAACCAACTTGCTAAAAATCGCATGTTTCCTAATTCTGTCTTTACTGTTTCATTACTTTTGGTGTTTGTTCTGGGCTTTACTGAGAAAGTAAAACAGGCCATCACTGTTTAAGTTACTGCATCCCATATATTGCTCCTAACCTTGGCTTAAATGCTCTTAATCTAGAAGGGCCGTTAAGCCCACAAGTTTTGGGTTCAGAGAGATGAAGTCCCATCTCTGCCAGTGTGAAAATTAGAGCAAATCAATTTTCTTATCTATAAAATTAGAGTAAATTCAGTTTATATCCAAAATGGGATTTAATCATATTAAATCATTAATATGATCTTTAATCATATTAATTAATTAATTAATTAAAGATCAATCTTTAATATGATCTTTCCCACTTAATTTTTCAATGTCTCCCATGCCCACTCCCATAGGGTCAGGTATGAGGCTTTCAGTCATCAGTCCATTTTCCAGGGTACCGTGACTGGCTAGTTCAGACTAGCCGATACGGGAGTCATCCAGAATTTATGCAATTTAAACTTTTCTGTTGATTTTATTTAGTTGTTAGGGATGATTTCTGTTTCAAAGTGAGGAAAAAATCTTCCATTTTCCATTGGTCAAACCTTACTGACATTTATTCAACCAAAATTGAGTGCCCCCCTTGTGCTCAGCACTATCCTTGTGATAGGCAGACAGCATGCAGTAATGCAATAAAAGCTGCTATGCTCGCTCGTGGAGCTTACATTCTAGTAATACCTATATACACTGTTAAGTGTGTTTACAATATGTTGTTACATCTTTTTCTCTGTTTAAGGCAAATTTCTACAGGCCATGACTTGTTGCGTTTGTAACTATTAGTTGAGTATCTCAAACACAAAACCTGAAGATGAAAAGATAAAATGCTACCATTATTACTGTTGTTGTTGTTATTTTAATTCTAATAACCCATAGAATTTATAAGAGCTATTAAGTTTTGAAACATGCAAATAGATAAAAAGCAAGCACAATGTTACTTTTTCAGAGTCATTACTATTACTCAGTGTTACTTTTTCAGAGTCTATTGCTATATAGAAAATTTTGAGGCACCCGCCAGGTGCAGTGGCTCACGCCTGTAATCCCAGCACTTTGGGAGGCTGATGGGGGTGGATCATGAGGTCAAGAGATCCATCCTGGCCAACATGATGAAACCCCATCTCTACTAAAAAATACAAAAATTAGCTGGGTGTGGTGGTGCGCACCTATAGTCCCAACTACTTGGGAGGCTTAGGCAGGAGAATTGCTTGAACCCGGAAGGCAGAGGTTGCAGTGAGCCGAGGTCGTGCCACTGTACTCCAGCCTGGCCGCGACAGAGCGAGACTCCGTCTCAAAAAAAAAAAAAAAAAAGAAAAAAAAAAAGAAAATTTAGAGGCACCAAACACCACTGAATTTGTAAACCCCCAGATTTTGAAGACTCAGAAAGGACTAAGGACTAAGTTTATACTCATTCAGCCTTGCAAATAAATACCAAATTTACAGAGGTACTCAAAATAAATATGTTTTCATTTTATAGTGACAGTGCACATAAGAAAAAAATTTACCCCTTTGTTTTTCTGTCCTAACAACGTCTGGCTCTAAACAATTCTATAACATACACATACAGGTACACATTGAATATATACATTTTTAAATCAAGTATTATTTCAACAATGCTTTGAATAAATTTACAGGAACCCAGTGGGGTTTTTTCCTTTCAGTAAGACTAATCCCTAGATTTGAAAATTGATTGAATTGAGGGGTATGACAAGTTCAAATTCAAACATTATCATCACCTCAATATTAAACTAACCATAAAAATATTCCATATATAAAACATGATTAAAAATAATCACTGTCATAGTAGTTAGAAAATAAGGCTTCCTTCACCTGAAATTTTGTCCATTTGAAGAGGGAAGTGGACCACAGTAGGGAGGGTTGAAGACTGGAGACTCCCCAAAGAGCTCCCTGATATTTATTATCATCAGCAACAGAAATCCCAGAACACGGCCGGGTGCAGTGGCTCACGCCTGTAATCCTAGTGCTTTGGGAGGCCGAGGCAGGCGGATCACAAGGTCAGGAGATCGAGACCATCCTGCCTAACGCGGTGAAACCCCATATCTACTAAGAATACAAAAAATTAGCTGGGCGTGGTGGCGGGCGCCTGTAGTCCCAGCTACTCGGGAGGCTGAGGCAGGAGAATGGCGTGAACCCTGGGAGGCAGAGCTTGTAGTGAGCCGAGATCTCGCCACTGCACTCCAGCCTGGGCGACAGAGCGAGACTCCATCTCAAAAAACATAAAACAAACAAACAAAAGAAATCCCAGAACACTTTTTATTTATGAGAAGATGGCAATGAAATGTGTGTACTAAATTATAGTGCTTCTTTTTCTTCCATTTCTGAAAGCAGTGACATTCCTATTGGTGCACTTTAAAAAGGAAGCTAAAGTCAGAAGTGGATTGCTGCCTCCTGCTCTTTTTTTTATATTTTAACTTTTAGGTTCTGGGGTACATGTGCAGGTCTGTTATATGTGTAAACTCATTACTTGAGGGTTTGGTGTACAGATTATTTTGTCACCCGTTACTAATCATAGTACCCAACTGCTTTTTGTTTGTTTGTTTTCTGAACCTCTCCCTCTTCCCACCCTCATAACATTGAAAAATGTGTTCTTACATGTAATTGGGAAAGTAATTTCCTAAAAAGAATTTAATTAAGCCTTAAATAATAGGCTTCTGTCACCTGCATCCTTCTCAAAGCTGACTTACTGCTTCACTTTTTTTTTTTTTTCTGACTTAACCAAAGATAATGGACCTTTTGAGGTTCTGGCTGTAGGTTTGTTCCTGGTAAGTGGGCTTGAAGTATTGTGAGATCAAATCCAAAATGGTATTTTTTTAAACTAGGCTACCATGTGAATACCATTTCCCACCAAAAGTAACAGAAGAGTTCATGAACATGGAAAAAAAAAGTATTCTTTTAGCAGCTTGATACACAAGGCTTCATTATTTTTCTTACTTTGTTTCCCTCTAGTGCCCCAAAGTGAAAAGTGCATGGGTATTTTATATGGAGATGTCCAATTCAATTAATTTATTCATTAAAAAGAAATTGATTAGATTCATTCTTATTGTCCCTTTTAGAACTTGGGTACTACTGCTCCTTTTTAGGACATAAAGTCCTGAATCCCCTGTACTCCGCGATCCCACCAATACCGCTAAACACCTCTTCTTGGTCATACTCAGATTTCAGAACCAAGCAGATGATTGTGATTGTGTTTGTTTCCATGTCTTCTGCCTAGTTCTTATTTTTTTAAAAAATTTTTTTTGGCTTGGCGGGGGGTGGTCCTGAATTTAATAGGGCTACAAACTATAATCATAGGCAGGCATTAGGCTCAAGTTGGAACAATTTTTAACTAAAATGACTTAATATAATCACTTAATTTACTTTGTTATGCAATAACTCATAGTAATTTTTTTTTTTTTTTTTTTTTTTTTGAGACGGAGTCTCGCTCTGTCGCCCAGGCTGGAGTGCAGTGGCGCAATCTCGGCTCACTGCAAGCTCCGCCTCCCGGGTTCACGCCATTCTCCTGCCTCAGCCTCCCAAGTAGCTGGGACTACAGGCGCCCGCCACTACGCCCGGCTAATTTTTTGTATTTTTAGTAGAGACGGGGTTTCACCGTTTTAGCCGGGGTGGTCTCGATCTCCTGACCTCGTGATCCGCCCGCCTCGGCCTCCCAAAGTGCTGGGATTACAGGCGTAACTCATAGTAATTTTTAAGAAGGGGGAAATGCATAAAAAATGGACTACGTAGTCCATTTTTGACCTGGAGACATCATCCTTTGTCACATTTACAGTTACTCATGAGCATTTGTCTCTCCCCTAGTTTTAAAAAAGAGAACAATGATCAGGGCTTGCAACCACAGCAAGTGTTATTACCAGGGAGAATTATTATCTTGCTGATCATTCTAGGTGAGACTGCATATGCTTTGTGGTCACTGTGGGCTGGTGCTCTGGAGCAGTGATTCAGAGGCACTTACAATTTCTTTTGGCAGAATGCCGGGTATACATAGCGAAATGATATTTTTATGGCTTTTCTAGGGTTTGATGATCTCACATTTCAGGCTGGACAACTTCCCATAGTGATAGACCTATTATTAATTAGAGAATGTACGTGTGACAACCAGTAAGGGATGCTTTTGTTTTTTTCTCAAAGAAGAAGGTACTCAATGGACCATCTGGGGAACACATGATGTACTGTGAGGTTGTCCCACCCTGATCTTTTGTGGTCTCAAATATGTGACCAGACGCCTTATATTCCATTCTTGACTGTTCTCCATCAGATAAGAATCAGGCAACACAGTAAAAACAGTGCTCTGATTTCAGGCAATAAGTTCTTTAATACCTTTTTAAAGCTCAAGGTAGAATTGTTGAGCTGCAAGTGACAGCCTGCTTATTTAGAGTTAGAACAGGAGAGATTGAGATGAAGTAAACCTGGATGGGATGCTTTCTTTGGCATGATTTTAAAGACACTTGGCAATAATCTTCAAAGGAGGGTGTGTGTTTATCTTTCTTGGCATGGCTTTTGTTTTACTTCTGAAGCCCCACCTTTTCTTTCGGGTAATTTTTTTTCCCCAGTATGTCTGGCAACTGTGCTGAGGCTGCCCACAGTGCCAACTTTTCTGGGTAACTTAGGGAAAAAAATTGAATATGAATTTTTGCTGTCAAGTAGAAAAAGAATATCCAAATGATTGCTTTGCAGTTGAGTGTTGCTTGCTATGTTGAGATGATCATAGAGCAATCTGAGAACTCCAAAATTTTGGTAACTTATTTATATAGAACTCAGTGAAGTGAGCCTTTAAAACGAGAGAAAATATCAATGAACATTCTGTTTTACTTAAAAAAGTTATTCCAGTTCAATTACCATTACCACCAATTTCATTTTTCAATGGAAATCATAAGTACTGAATGTAACGGTTTAGGATTTTAAGCTCTCATGTGGTTGTAGACCCAAAATTTAAGATAGAAATGTATAAGAAGGACTAATTCTTAATCCAAAAATACAGTGGTCAAGTGAGTGAGTTATTGCTTCCTGGCCTTTTGGCTAAGATCAAGTGAAGTGCGTGGGTTTTAAAGGCAGACAATCTTTGAAAACATACTCTACTACTTACTAGCTGGAAGAACTCTATGAGGCTAAAGATTCCATAAAATTAAGGGTCTTTTCTTTCTTTTATGCCATTCTGCCTCTAGTATCTGGCAACTTGCCTGACACATAGTAAAAGCACAACTACAGAAGGTTTTTTCTTCCTGTGGATGAAAATTCTTTTCCAGTTAAGTGCTTTCACATAGAAAGATTGACCTTTTTCTCGTTTCTGAAGATCGGTTGGGTTCTGCCAAGAATCATATGCTTGAGAAGATGAAACATCACTTAGAAATCTGACATCTTTGCTTCCTGTTTCCTATTATGCTGCTCATTGTTGAGAATGCCATTTAAATTGTTCCTGAACCCACTTCCTTATAGATTGGTTACATGAGGTTAGAAATCACTTAACATTAAATGTTTTAACATTGAAATGAAGGAACTCTCAGCATTTAGAGACAAAAGAGGGCAGAGTCATTGAGGCTAAGGAAAAGAATTATATTTTTCTGTTAAAACCTTCTGTTGTATGATATCTTCTACATTCTATGACCTATAATCATCAGGGAATTTTGTCACTGCCAAAATTAACTCAGATTTTATAACCAAATTAAACTTTGAGAAGTCAGTTCTCAAAGTCTTCCATGATTGAATGATACTTGTGTGGAATGTAAATTGTACTCATTTGGAATATCTCGAATGGCTGCCTATCAGTTCACTTAATTTCCTCAACCTTACACGAGCAATTACCATGTGACTGGCCTGAGCTAGCATCAGGGGACTAGACATGAATATAGACATTTCATATCTAAAAATTTATCCTGTAGTTTGCCATATTGACATGAAAACAAAGAAAATGTGACATAATGGAAGATGTATAAAATAATGGTGAATATCACAATGGGAGGTGTTCATAGACTGATAATTGCCCACCCAGTATTAATTCTTCTTCTCTTTCTTATAGCAGAAACCCGATTCTATACCAGGTGGCAAAATATCCAGCTGAAGGCCCCATTTTTCTATCCTCTCTTGTAGCTGCGTGTGACCATGGACTAAATTCTGGCTAATAATATGCAAATGAAAGTTTTTGGGTTGAATTTGGGGAAAAGTTCCCTTAGCTTGGGGAGAAATGACTGGGGCTTGCTAGCTGGAATGTGGACGTGATGTGGTTGTGGAATGCGGATGTGTTGGCTGTAGCTCTAGCAGACACCCTGAAGCATGATGTGATCTTAAGCATGGAAGTCATGTACAAAGGATGTCAGGGAACAAAGATAGAAGGACCCTGGACACTGATTACTGAGCAGAACCCTGGATTGACTCTCCCTCAAGTTGGGTGTAGAAATGCATTTCTGTCTAGTTTAAGTCACTGCTACTTTCACTCTGTTACTAAGGTATAAATGCAATTTCAGATGACATGAAAGGTATATTAAGAGTTTCTTTTTAGAGAAAAGTGTTGCCAAAGGTATTCATAGAGGAAATAATGCTTTGGCAGATTATTTTAAAGGACAAACAGGAGGAGTTGTCCAGGTTACAGGAGAGAGATGAGGAATCCATGGAAGAATATTTGGTGTTACTGCATATGTCATTAGAATTATTATTATTATTATTATTATTATTTTTTGAGACAAGGGCTCACTCTGTTGCCCTGGCTGGAGTGCAGTGGCATAATGTTGGCTCACTGCAGCCTCGATCTCCCAGGCTCAAGTGATCCTCCTACTTCAGCCTCCTGAGTAGCAGGGACCACAAGCATGCATCATAATGTCCAGGTGTTTTTAAAAAATTATTTCTTGTAGGGACAGGGTCTCACCCTGTTGCCCAGGCTGGTCTCAAATTCCTGGGCTCAAGTGATCCACCTGCCTCAGGCTCCAAAAGTGCTGGGATTACAGGCATGAGCTACTGCACCCAGTCTGATTTTTAATTTGAATTTTTTATTTGGAAATAACTGCATACTTAGAAAAATGTTGCAAGAATGAGAATAACACTAAGAACATCTCTTATACCCTTTACTCAGGTTCATCTATTGTCATCATTTTATGTCATTTGTTTGTAATTTGCTGTCTTGACTCTTCACGATTTACCATTATTTTACCAATATAAATTGTACAAATCATGGCTTTTTACCCCAGTATCACTTTACCCTAAAATATTTTACTGTGCATTTCCTAATAATAGAGATATTCTCTTTCTTTTTTGGGGGGTGAGGGGGTTTATGGAAAAGTCAAGTTCTAACAAAAATACAATGAAAGTTTTTCATCCAAAGTCCTAAGGAGTACCAAAGTAGAATTGAAGGCAAAACACCCATACTAAACACAACTAATCTTACATAGAACATGTTATTCATTCTAATAAAAACCATTCTGGCTGGGTGCGGTGGCTCACGCCTGTAATCCCAGCACTTTGGGAGGCCAAGGCAGGCAGATCACTTGAGGTCAGGAGTTTGAGACCAGCCTGGCCAACATAGTGTAAGAAAAATGGCTGCGCTTTAGTCAGGAGTAGGCTGAGGTGGCCTTCTGGTGCAGCATTACTCAGCGTGTTTGGAGAGCAGATGCACGACCCCACACATTATGTAACCAGGCCATGTGAGGCACATTAGATGATCACCCACATGAGCTCGTGCTTGGCTTGGAGCCACTATTGTCTGTAAAAGGTATAATTACCCTGCTAACATTGTACATATGGCTTGCTGGTGCCCACAGAATAGAGCCATGTTGAAATTGTTTACGATTCCTCAAGTGTTTTTCCAGCTACCTGCCACTTGCCCACTGACTCCCCTTGCACCTCAGTTAGAACCTGACACATGGTGAAACCCCGTTTCTACTAAAAAAATACAAAAACTTGCCGGGTGTGGTGGTGCATGCCTGTAGTCTCAGCTACCCAGGAGGCTGAGGCAGGAGAATCACTTGAACCCGGGAGGCAGAGGTTACAGTGAGCCGAGATCGCGCCACTGCCCTCCAGCCTGGCCTACAAGAGCGAGACTCTGTCTCAAAAACAAAAAAGAAAAGGGAAAAAAAAATTCTACTTTGTGTTCTTCACACAAAACATTGTCAAACAATAATATGGAAAACTTCTTTAATGCAATGTAGAATAATTACAGAACATTCAGATTCTAAAATTAAATCAATTAATTCTTTGTGAGGAAAGCTAAGGGCACTAGTAAAATTGTAAGCTTAACATTTAAACTCAATTATCAGGGTTGGCTTGGAGAGCCTCATACACATTAGCATTGCTCACTAGTTTCACTATTTTCCTAGTGAAAAAATAGAAAATTTTACATAAATATGGAAAATGTTATAATACTTAGTACACTGTTGATAAAAAAAGATCTTACATGTCAATTGCAATTTTACATTGCAATTAAATACATTCCTTATTCTGACATTATTGTAGTTTAAATAATGAATGAAATAGATAATAATAGTGATTATGATAAAAAGATATTTTCATTCATAACCACAGTTCACTCATCAACTTCAGTAAGTTTAACTTTGATAAAGTAATTTTATCCAAGCTATTGCCCTTATGCAATTGCCCCAACAATGACCTTTGTAGCATTTTCCATTGCAATTGAGGATCTAATCTATGGTCAGACATTACATTAATTTGTCATGTATCTTTAATCACCTTTAATCTAGAATATTTCATAGCCTTTACTTGTCTTTTGTGCCAGTAACATTTTTGAAGACTATACTCTTCTCCTCTTTTAAATAGAATATTCCTCATTGGTCTGCTGGTTTTTCATGAGGGAGTCAAGTTATACATTTTCAACCGAATACTTCACAGGTGATGTTGTGCCCTTCTCAGGGGAGGCATGCCAAGGCCATCTGTTCATCACCAGTGATGTTAATTTTAAGCACCTGGTGAAGGTATTGCTGAGCTTCTCCTTTGTATCATTACTTTTTGAAAAAAACGTTGAAGCGAATTAGCAATTTGTGGTAACACTGTTTAAGTTCATGGCAAGTTTCTGGTCTTCAACAAAATATCCCCCTAGATTTAGTATCCATTGATGATTCTTGCTTTATCCAGTCTTTACCATGATGTTGCAAAATGGTGATTTTCCAGCTTCAGCATCACCTCCGCATTTACCAGCCAGCACTCAGCATTCTACATTAAGCAAGAGACCTTCCTTTTCCTCACCTATTTATTTATTAATTATTGGTATCACTAGTTCGTATTTTTTCAATGGTTTATAATGCATTACTTAATATTTTGGTGTTCAAATTGTCCCTGACCTGGTCATTAGGGGTTTCTTCAAGTTGATTCCTTGGCTTTGTTGCAAGCCCCACACTTTTTTTAAAGCATTTCCGCACTTTTAGACATAGTATGTTCCAGACTCATCTTGCATCATCTGGCTCTAGAATCTATCTCACTGTGGGTAATTAGTGAATACCACATTGTATCTTTGAATTCCCAGCATAATTGATAGTGCAAATCTTTGCACAGATTATTTTAATATTAATTTTAAGGTATTTTAGCAGTTCAGCATGTTTACATGGAGTGGAGCCTTGATTCTTTTTAGTGGAGAATAGTGATAGAGGCCAAATTCTAGGCATTAGATGTGCTTCTGGTTACTGGTGTGTGTGTATTAGGGTCCACCAGAGGGACAGAACAAATAGGATATATGTATATATGAAAGGGAGTTTATTAGGAATAATTGGCTCACATAATTACAAAGTGAAGTCCCATGATAGGCCACCTGCAAAATGGGGAAGAGAGAAGCCAGTAGTGACTCAATCAGAGTCGAAAGCCTCAAAACCAGTGAAGCTGACAGTGCAGCCTTCAGTCTGTGGCAGAAGGCCTGAGAGCCCCCAGGAAGCCACTGGTGCAAGTTCCAGAGTCCAAAGGATGAAGACCCTGGAGTCTGGTGTCCAAGGGCAGAAGGAGCAGAAGCAAGCATCCAAGACAAGAAGAGGAAGGAAGCCAGGAAAACTCAGCAAGCAAAGTTATCCCACCTTCTTCCTCCTGCTTTTGTTCTAATCACACCGGCAGCTGATTGGATGGTGCCCACCCACATTGAGGGTGGGTCTTCCTCTCCTAGTCCACTGACTCAAATATCAGTCTCCTCTGGCAACACCCTCACAGATACAGCCACAAACAATACTTTACCAGCTATCTGGGCATCCTTCAATCCAATCAAGTTGACACCTAATATTAATTGTCACATGGGATATCTTTACTTCTTGACCCTTTCAGTGGACAGAGCTAGGAAATGTGAGTGTGTATACACATGCATACAGACACAGACATATATACACACAAACATAGAGGTATATGTGTATACAGGTGGGCATACACATACATAAACACATACAACATATTTTAGACATTATGAGTTCAGATCTATACTTTCAGTTTCAATCCACTCCCATGGGCTTCTTTCTTGCCATCCTCACTGTATAGTTTACAACCTACCTTCCTCTGTGAGAACTCTCGCTCTCAGCAACACAAATGCATTAACTCATTGTGCAATCCTATAATACATCTAAATCAGGGACATCCAATGTTTTGGCTTCCCTGGGCCACATTGGAAGAAGAAGAATGTCTTGGGCCACACATAAAATACACTAATGATAGCTGATGAGCTAAAAAAACTTGCCAAAAAATTTCATGATGTTTTTAAGAAAG
This sequence comes from Homo sapiens, assembly GCF_000001405.40. Classification (NCBI taxonomy): domain Eukaryota; kingdom Metazoa; phylum Chordata; class Mammalia; order Primates; family Hominidae; genus Homo; species Homo sapiens. Next base: position 77,514,786 of record NC_000013.11, read on the forward strand.
TTTACAAATTTGCATTGGGCCTCATTCAAAGCTGTTCCAGGCTGCAGGTTGAACAAGCTTGATCTAAATTGTTTCAGAATCACTTTACTCATACCACTACAATAAGTAAATCTATTAAAAATACTTCTGGATTTATTTGCAGTTCTCCATTCCCACTCCTTGCATACTCCATAAATATTATTTTAATGAAAGAACAAGTTTCGAAATCACCAGCATGGGACTTCCATCTACTGTTGGCCAAGACTATACATTTAGCATGAGAATGGGAATAGTCTTTACTCCAAAATTCATTGTTTCTTGTATTTGACACATTCATATTGAAAAGTGCAAATCCTAAATGACTTGTGTGTATACCAAGAGTATTTCTTTTAAAATTTGCTAACTTTATACTTTTTTTCACCACTCACTAAGTAAAAATGGAACGTTGCACCATTGGACCTTAAATGCATATTGCTAAGTGAAAGAAGCCAGTCTGAAAAGGCTATATACTGTATGATTCCAAACATGACATTTTGGGAGAGGCAAAACTATAGAGGCAATGAAAGGATCAGTAGTTGCCAGGTGTTAAGGGGAAGAGGAGAGAGAGATTAGAAGGTGAAGCACAGGAGATTTTTAGGGCAGTGTGACTATTCTGTATGATACTGTAACGGTGGATGTGTGATATGCATCTGTCAAAACCCTTAGAACTGTACCACACCAAGAGTGAACTAATGTGAACTATGAACTTTAATCAATAACAGTATATCAATATTGGCTTACCAATTCTAACAAATTCACCACATTAAACCAGATGTTAATAATGGGACAGCTAAGGGTGGGGGCAAGGGTATATTTGGGAACTCTGTACTTTCCACTTAATTTTTTCTGTAAACTAAACACTGCTCTAAAAAATAATGTCTTTTAATTAAAACAAAATAACAGGTTGCAGTTCCAGAAAAACTCAGGTGGAGAGAGTTCCTGTTTAACATGGTGAGTATTTAAAACATACCCAGCAAAGCCATTAACTAATACATTATCTATGGAGCTGAACCGAATATTTGCAAAGGTGGTTTTGTTGTGATTGTTGTTTTAACTGCTTGATTGCTTTTTAAGAACTATTGACAGAATTGGATATTTTTAAAGGTAGAAGACAAATATATTTTATTTGTCTTTCAATGACTCATCTTTAAGCTCTTTACAATACACTCCCATAGAATTGCTAAGACAGACCCTATTGGCATCACCTAGTCTCCTGCATTGTGCATCCCTGACAGCTACTATGCAGAGATTTCCTAGATTGTGTTCAATGGCCAACCTGCTGAAACTGAGTGCAAATGCTAATATGCAATAATCACCAAAAAGGAGAACAATTCAGGATTGATACACACACCAGCTGCAATTCTGCAACCCGCTGAAAGTGAGTGTTTCAAGTGCAAACTCTTGCTGCTTTTCCTTGAGCCTCCTGGTTCTCTAGCTGTGGAGTAACAGCCTTGGTCTCAGGACTGACTTTAGGGAGACAGTCTTTTTAGCTTTCCTTGGCAATGGAAAACACTGCCCAGGGAACAAACTCATGTGGCTCTGATAGGTGGGTCATGTTATGTTTCAGGGCTGTTATTAGTAAGAACAAATGATTCTCTGCCCTTGCATCTTCATTCAGTACAGTGATTTCCATTACATTAGATTGAGTCATTAGATGAGTACATTAGATTGAGTCAATTTCCTCCCAGATCCTCAGCAAAACTCTCGAGCCAGTTCCTTACTACTTGGGGGATGGCTTGCCTGACTGAGCGCAGCTTTGGTGCCCCTGTGTTCTGGGTCTGTGTGTCCTTGTTGCTTAGCGCCTAGATATTCTGCTCTGTTAATTTCCCTTGGCTTTGAAGGGAAGAGAGAATAGCAGTCTAGAGGGAGCTGGCTTTGATGGGAAGTATGATTTTCAGGTAGATTTCACTGTCTCATGCAATCGTGTGATTTATGTCATTTCCCTAGTAACTATTTCTGGTGACAGCAGTCACTTCTTCATGCCAGCCATTTTATAGATTTTATGAATGCAAAGGAATATTATTTAGCTACTTATAATAACAATCATATGGGTTATTATCAATTTTAAAAATGCTAATATGTAATAATCACCAAAAAGGAGAACAATTCAGGATTAATACACATGCCAGCTGCAATTCTGCAAAAATTTAATTTTATAATCATAAGATCAGAAGATAATTTGGTGAGAGAGTTTAGAATCTAATAATGTTCGTTCATTTCCTTTTTTTCCATAGAAGGCTCTGGTGTGATTCAGGCTTTGCTTAATTTTCATGTAAACCTGGAAATATGGAGGAGGAGTGGCTCTTGGAAATTCTGACTTGGAGACTCTCAGGCTTATTTTCCAAATAAGTGTGAAAAACTGCTGGAGATTCCTTCCTCAGGCCAGACCCATACTTTCTGGGCCACCTTGTTCAACTTGTTTAAGTAGATCTAGAACACTGGAAATCTTTCCCTAAGCTTCTGTCTCCCTCACCTCTCACATCCAAATTCATCACCATCCACTACACCAGATCCTATGGATTTAAACTCCTTTAATATATTTCAAATCATTCATCTTCATCTCTTCAAGTCATCACCCTAGTTCTTGCTAATATTATCTCTCACCTAAAATGCTGCACCACCATCCTAAATGATTGTGCTAAACTCAGGCTTACCCTCTTTTGCAATCAAGTTAATTTTTTGTGAAACTTGCTATAATGGAGGTAAAACAAACACAGTAAAATGTTCAAATTTTAGTTTTGTAGCTCAATCAAATTTTGCATGCATGCCTATCTATAATTACCATTTAGATCACACAGAACATAGAGAAAGCCAGAAACTCCCAGTGTGGGCCATGTTGGGCTGTTGCAATTCACTGACTCCAGCCAATGGGAAGAGGAAAGAGTCTGATAACGTAAGGCCCAGCATGGTCTCAGCCTGTGTTCTGTGGGAGGAAAATTAATGACATGGGCACACCCAACTAACATGGCTGGGAAATGTAGTTCTAACTGGGTAACCATGCACCCAACACATTCTAACACCATGGAAGAAAAAGAAAATAGACTGTGATGGACAACTACCAGCCTCAGCCACAATATTATTACAATATTAGTTTTTCCAATCCGTCAGACATTTTTTATCTTGCTATATATTTAGCACTTCTTTACTTTCTTCCAACACAGTTAAATAATTTTCTCCACAGAGTTCTTGCATGTTTTTTGTTAGATTTCTTTCTTGATGTTTCATAGTTTTGATGCTATTCTAAGCACTATTTTTGTTTCCTTTTCTGTTGTGACTTACATATAGAGATGCAGATTTTTGTATGTTTATTTTATGCATATATTTTTAAAACCTGACTTAACTCTCTTTTAAATTCTAAACACTTTTATGGATTTTTTGGGTTTTCTATATATACAATCATATCATCCATGAGAGATGATAATTTTATTTCTTTCTTTTTAATTTTTTTTGGGAGGTCTGACTGTACTGGCTAAAACTTCCAGTAAAATGGTGACTGGAAGAGGCAATAGTTATCATACTTGTCTTATTCCTAATCTTAAAGGGAAAGGTATGAACTTTAAATACTGTGATTGATGGAGGATTTGTAGATACTTTTAATCAGATTGAGGAATGTTCCATCCACTCATACTTACATGATTATCTCAGTGAACTGAGTGGATGCTGAAGTTTTTCCAATGCTTTTTCCACATTCACTGAGATAATCATGTAATTTTTCCCCTCATTTAATCTGTTAATGTGGTAAACCACATTAATTGATTTTGTAATGTTAAATCAATCTTGTATTCCTAGGATAAGCCCAACTTTCCTATGAAATCCTCTAGACCTAGACTTTTCTTTGTGAAAAGATTTGTAATTACTGACTTTATTTTCGTTTTTAATAATGGTAACAGAATTGTTCAGATATATGGTTTTGTTATTGTTGATCTGTTTGGGTAAGCTATATTGGTCTAGAAATTTTTCCATTTTGTTTAAATTTTCAAATTTATTGGCATGAAGTTTTCATTTTATTCTTTTACAGGTTTACTCCTAAGCCTGCGGCATGAATACAAATGATGGCCCACATACCATATGTCTAAATGTTGATAAGTTATGAATCAAGTTAATGAACTATTAAAGAAAATATGTCCTAGCCTTCTAACTTGACAAATATACCTCTATAACAATCTAAAAAGACAGATTCAAATTTAGAATTCTTTCACTTTTCAAACACCACTTCTTTCTAATCTCCTATATTACTGTTTGTAATTTTCTGTTCTCTGCTGACATGTTCTAATTTTGCTTTTATTTCTTTGAACATCCTATGCATACTTATCTTAGGATCTGTACTGATACTTCCAATCACAGACCTGTGTGTATTTATTTTGATTAGCTGTTTGTTTCTGCTGGTTCTTTTTCCTGGTGACATGTTTCCTGTGTGCCTAGTTATTTTTTGACATTGCTGAACGTTTTAACTAAAATTTTAATTATAGGTGTAATTAAGGCTAAGGTGATAGAATCTCAGAGGGATTTTTTTTGTTTGTTTCTGTCAGGCATCTGGGGTGCTTTCAATCTGGGACCATCTTTTTTATTTTTATTTTTTTAGAAACAGAGTCTCGGTCTGTCACCCAGGTTGAAGTGCAGTGGTGCCATTGTAGCTCATTATAGCCTCCAATTCCTGGGCTCAAGAGATCCTCCCTCTTCAGCCTTCTGAGTAGCTGGGACCATAGGTGTGTGCCACCTTGCCCAGCCTTTTTTTTTTTATTTATTTTTCTGTAGATATGGGGTTTTGTTGATGTTGCTCAGGCTGGTCTCAATCTCCTGGCCTCAGGCCACTCTCTTGCCTTGGACTTCCAAAGTGTTGGGATTACAGGCATGAGCCACCATACCTGGCCCAGAATTTCTTTCTTTTCTTTTCTTTCTTTTCCTTCCTTCCTTCCTTCCTTCCTTCCTTCCTTCCTTCCTTCCTTCCTTCCCTTCCTTCCCTCCCTCCCTCCCTCCCTCCTTTCTTTCTTTCTTTCTTTTCTATTTTCTTTGTAAAATAATATACTTAAAATAGTACTTATGTTATTCTTTTTAATTTATAATTGTGTATTCTGCTTTATAAGATCAAATCAGATTTCTTCCAAAGAAACAAGAAGGCTGGAGGAATGAAGGTCAAGCAGAAATGCTGATGCCTTTCATGAAATGGGGAATTTCAGGAACTGCAGGAAATGGTTCACCATGATTCAGTTGTCTGTTCACCACTAAAAAGAAATAATTCACAGGAAGATGCCAGGAAGTTTCAGGAAACATCTTATATCTATCGTCTGCCAAAACACATGATCTCTTTTTTTTTTTTTTTTTTTTTTTGAGACGGAATCTCACACTGTTGCCCAGGCTGGAGTACAGTGGCACGATCTCTGCTCACTGCAAGCTCTGCTTCCCGGGTTCACGCCATTCTCCTGCCTCAGCCTCCTGAGTAGCTGGGACTACAGACGCCCGCCACCACGCCCGGCTAATTTTTTTGTATTTTTAGTAGAGACAGGGTTTCACCGTGTTAGGCAGGATGGTCTCGATCTGCTGACCTCATGATCCGCCTGCCTCGGCCTCCCAAAGTGCTGGGATTACAGGGTGAGCCACTGCGCCTGGCCACACATGATCTCTTTACTGCCAGTGTCTCAGGAATAATATTATGGTTTCTACTTCTCTCCTACCTTTCAAAAGCTTGTGTGAGTATCTCTCACAGGCAGAACATAATCCAAACCTGTGCTGGCAGGCATTCTGAGAAATGTAGTTCCTAATCTTGTAGCCATTGCAGTTCGAAGATCTTGGAAAATAGATAGTGCTGGGTTTCCCACAGATAATTGGTACAACACAAAATACACCAAAGTGCAGATATTTAATTAAAAGTAAGTAAAAATATCTATAGGTGGTACATGCTCAAAATGTTTTTATGCTAGTGCAATCTAAACCTCCTTGTATAATACTTATCTAGTGCCTATCAGCTCCAGGGAGTCTTTCACTCTCTTATCTCTCCATTACTGTTTCTAGTTCATAATCCTTCTCCCTGCCCTCTTGCTTTTTGATCACCTCCATCCTCATCATCCAGTAGACTTTTAGGACATATCAATTTCCTTCTTCTCCATTTTGTGTAGGTCTTATGCTGTGTAGCTGGTCCTCCTGAAAATCAACCTGGGAAATAGAGGTAGTAGAGGATAAAGATGAGTGGGCAATGCTCAAATGCTCTAATATGGGCTAGAGAGAGGGAAAAGTTGCAAACCACTATTCACTAATAAAATTGTCTCCAGCACACACACAGAAATGATTACAGACAATAGGTTTCTGTCCCTGAGTAACAATAATCTAGTCCCAAAGACCTAGATATTTTGTAAGACTTCTTTCTCCAGCATCCATCTTGTTTTTCAGCTTGCCTTTTTGGCCTCCAGGAACTGGCCTATTATTTCATCTACCCCAACCCATGGACAAGTCAGAGAGCCTTCCTTGCTAAACAAACAAAATAACAGCAACCAAAAAAATTATTCAATGCTCCACCCACTCAACTCTGGCATCCATGAGGGTCATGTGTAGTTCACAGATGATTCACGGGACCATGTCAATGGACTCCCATTCGGAATCAAGAAAGACTCAGCCCTTCCCCCAGGGTGACAGGCAGCTCACCTCTGCACTCTTACATGATTCACTCAGGGCAATAGCACCTTCATCACTCAATGGCAGAGCCTGCCCAAAGTAAGCAGACCACACATCAAAACAGAAAGCTAGTGCCCTCAGCTTGGGTCTACTAGGATCCTGGTGATAAAAAGATAGAGGCTGGAACCAAATACCTCTTACACCTTTGACTTTTCTATGACCAATATTGCCTGTGGAAACAGGGTTAGAATGAAAAGGACCTTATTATCTCTCTGCTCACAGTGACTTGTAGGATTGAAAAAGAACCCTATTGGAAGCTCTGTTCTGGGCTGAAGCCTATCATCCCTCCTAGCATGAAGGAGATACTTGAGTCATTCTTACTGGGTTCCTGGGCTGCACTGTGAATGCCAGCATCTGCTTCACGGGAGAGGAAGGAAGAAAAGAGAGAAGCAGAAAAGATATTTATGCAAAGTATCCTGTATTAGTTCCATACTTTACTTGGTTCGGTATTAAGTGACTTCTTTTTTAATATCTTAAAGTAGCAGAGGAAGGTAGGCTACAGGCATTTTAATGTAAATGTGGATTTCTGGGTAAATACAATTTAATAGTGGTTTCTACTTTGTGGATGATCCTATGCCCCCAACTGAGGAACTTGTTCTTAATGCCACACTTCCTGGGGAAGACACAGCTGCCAAATTCCTTTGCACAATCCCTAAAGAATGTTTTTGCCTTGAAAGTGTATTTGCTCAGCCTTGTCAGGTTTGGCTGTGAAGGGTGGGTCAGCCCACTGGGTGTGCTGCATACCTTCCTGGAGAGACCCAGGAAGCTGCCCAGCTACGCAAAGGGCAGTCAAATCTCTAGGTGGAACATTAGAATTTGTTTACTATGGTTAGGAATTTGCCCAGAGGTATCTGAAGTGCTTTGCTGAGGCTTTCTGGATGATAATTTTTTTGTTGCAGTTTTTAAATGTTTGTTTGTTTACAGAAAATGACTTCACCAACATAATTTTTAACCTTTCTTGATTTACCTCTGTGAAATCAGTGAAATATATTGGCGCTGTTTCTAGAAATTTCTGCAGTCAACTCAAGTAGCACCTGAAAAAGTCCCACAGCCTGTTGGCCAGTACATGTGCAGGATGTACAGGTTTGTTACCTAGGTAAACATGTGCCAGGGTGGTTTACTGCACATATTGTCCTGTCACCCAGGTATTAAGCCTGGCATCCACTAGCTATTCTTTCTGTTCCTCTCCTTCCTCCCACCCGCAATCTTCTGACAGGCACCAATGTGTGTTTTTCCCTCACATGTGTCCACGTGTTCTCATTGTTCAGCTCCTGCTTACAAGTGAGAACATGCAGTATTTGGTTTTCTGTTCCTGTGTTTGCTAAGGATAATGGCCTACAGCTCCATCCATGCCCCTGCAAAGGACATGATCTCCTTCCTTTTTATGGCTGCATAGTATTCCGTGGTGTATATATACCACATTATCTTTATCCAGTCTATCATTGATGGGCATTTAGGTTGATTCCATGTCTTTGCTGTTGTGAATAGTAAAGCTGCTGATTTGACTGTATGACCCATCGCTTCACTAATTGAGCCTTGTCTTACTTCAGTAGAGACTCCTATGGGGTTTTTTTTACCCAGCTTGACTCCAGATTTTTCATTTCATTTTCATTCCATTACTGTTGGGAGAAATAAAGATTTGGAAGAAAGAGTCAAGGACAATAGATCTTATAAAGTTGCTTCATCAGAAACCTACTGGGGATTACTTTTGCTGTAAGACAGAAATTTCCTCCTACTTAATATTTTTTTTTTAATTTGGAACCCATCTATTTCAACAGATGTAAAATAGACCTTGGTTGGAAAAGGAAAGGCAGAGAGGGAATATCTGCTTATGGATATTAGTGATTGAGGATAATGCACTTTATGTATGCCCTTTTCTGTAGTTGAAGATGAATATAATAGTGTGTGGACAACACAACCTTTCCTTAAGTAAATGCGCATGTAAAAGTGGCTTACATTCCCATGTAGGATACAGGAAGAATAATATTTGATTCTGTGACATGAGCGCATCAATTTAGAAAAATTTGTTTCAGCTCACAATTTGCCATTTCGCCTGTGATGGCTTTTTCTTTTAATGGTGAGACTTAAGTTGTGACACTTGACAAGCCTTCATAAGGAAATACATCAATTTAGGAAAGTAGCATGTACTGCATGTGTCTGTATTGCTTTCTACATTTCTACACCTACTCATTTGACAGGGTTTATGGGAAAGCAAGATGGGTGAAGTGTGTGGGGAGGTTCATGTAGTGCAATGTTGGGGGTGCCAGGAAGGCCCAGTTTTCTAAGATAATCACACATTTTGGCTGTGAACGAAAGGAAATTTCAGTCTTTTATTCTGAAGACCTGCACTGGAATGAATCACAGAGCTTCTCCAGGAGTCTGACAGTGTAGGAGGGGGCATCAAGTCAACCAACTTTCCTTATGCCCTGTGGTTCTGGGTCTTTTCAGGCTAGTGTAGTTGCATAAGTAAAGATCAAACAATTCAATTTCCCAGCCTTTCTACATGGGGTTGGCCATGGGTGTGTAAGTTAAGGACTACTCCCTGTTTCTGTATTGCAGAATTATGGTTAGACTGGCTAAACAAGTCAGGTTTTGTGAGTGTTTCTGAGAGGAAAAATTCTACCCATGACACTGTAGGGCAGATGAAATGGTGAGAACTCCAGTATTAACTTCTAAACACAGAAAAAAAAAAAACACATGCTACCATGACAAGGCTTCTTAAGAGGACCATGGAATAGCATCCAATGGAAAGTAGGCTGGTAAGAGTGTTGCAGCAGAAGCACCAGCAGCAGTGGAGGTGGCAAGAAGCAGAGGGTTCAAAGCCTTGGCCTCTTCCTGTACCATTTGCCTGCTGTGAAATTGACATGTGGCTTAACCTTTCTGAATCTCAGTTTCTTCATGGATGAAACAAAGATTATAACAGTACTTTAGAAAGTTTTTATGAGAATGAAATCAGATAAGGTATATGTGCTTAGATGCTCATCAGACAGAATACATGGTCGAGAAATGTTCCATAATTTTGAATGAACTCTGATCTTACTTCCATGCTAATTAATTTATTGGATCTTTGCCAAGTCACCTGAAGGAGTCAGAATCTCAGTATTCTTCTCTGGAAAATGAGGTTTCAATTACAGGTTTATGACTCTTTTCTCACTGAGCATTCCCTCCTCCACAGGGAGAGGGTGAAAAGGGAGAGGGATGTTCTGACAGGGTTGGTTAGCACAGACCAGAGGTTGGCCAAGTATCGCCTGCTCCGGCCACTGTAGACCATTCTGCTCACACCCATTCCTTTCCCATGGTGGCTATGGCTGCTTTCTGCTATGACAGGGCAGAGTGGAGTTTTTGCATATGGCCTAGAAACCCTAAAATACAATATTGACTTTCAGGCCCTTTAAGAAAACAACTGCTGATGTCTAGCCATAGAATAAAACCAAAAAGGATTGATTCTGAGTTGCATCAGTCATGTTATAGTAAGAGCTTTCATAACGTTTTTAGTCTGTTTGATGCTTTCATATCAACTTTTGTCTCAATTTTTGCTTAAAGCCAAATATTTTGTTTGCAAGGATTGGATTTGTAGGCAAGAATCTTGATGGTTTCTTGGAAATTTGTTGTGATTGGGAGGCAGTGCACAAGACGCACCTTGTTTGGTAACTGTCATATTTTAAACAGACAATGACCTTTGAATTATAGTGTTGTGCCTCTTGTGTATAAAAACAAATTTAATCAGGCCTTTATGTTTCTTTTTAGCCAATCTTGGGAATGTGGTTGGTTTGTTAGTTTAAATTTTCCTCATTTTCTTTATATCAGGCACTTAGTAGTAGAACTGGTAAAAGTCAAGGTTTGTTTTTATAGAAGACATCTGAACATATAAGAATATGCCATTTTATTCTTACTGAAAGAACTGAATATTAAGTAAATAAGTGGAAAATAAAATACAAATCAACAGTAAAAAGTTAAAAACGTCAAAAATTTAAAAAGAGCAAATTACCTCATAGTATTTTCAATGACCTCAAAGCTTCTCTCTCTCTTTCTTTCTTTCTCTCTCTCACTCACAAACACACACACACTCCCAAATTATTGACGCCAACTATTTTTTAATAACTTTTAGTTGAGAGAGGAATGAGGTATTGGTGGGGGATATTGTAAAATTAAAGAAATAACAAAGTATACCAATTCCAAAGTATTTAAAAATCCCTGTTTTCTAGGGATACCATTAAAATTATCACAAATTTTGTTCCAATAGAGGATAGTCCACTAATTTACAATAAAGCTTGAAAATTAAAAAGTTCTAGAATTCTCCTCTTTTCTCTGGAGGGTTTATTGTTGATTATATAAAGTAAAGGAACTGGAGACAATTTGAAGATGAGGTGGAAGGGGGTGGATGGAATAAGTGAACTGGAGGAGGAAGTGAGTGGGGGAGGTGAGGGCTTTTCAGATATTGCAGATATTGTGAGTGGGGAGGGAACAAGGACACACTTTTGGGACACCCCAGTGGTTTGAGAGATTCAGTCCATCAGAATGTGCAAGAAGTAAAGGAAAATACCAACAGAAACACTAGCATAAACGAGGGAGACCATGTGAGCCACATTTTCCTAGCGTAGTCTATTCAATGTTGAGATGCTGAGAAGGAGAAGCGGGCAAAGAAAGAGCCTGGCCATTTCATTTTCTTGTCAGATGGCTTCTGTCCCATTTCCTCATGTGTCACATGGTAATGCAGGTATATTCATCCTAGAAACAATCGCTGAGAACTGGCTAAGTCAGGACTACCGAAGACTCAAGGATAAATAAGCTCAGGGCTCAGTCTTCAAGGTGTTTACATTATGATAGGGGAGACAGACACAGAGCTGTCAACGTGTGTGTGTGTGTGTGTGTAGGTCTGCTATATATGTATTATATATGTATGAATCTCATATGTATTAGAGATCCATAAGTATAAATATATTGTGTACATATATGTGGAGGTATGTACATATACGTGCATAGGTAGTATATACAGCTTAGGTAGTATGCTTCCCCCAGATGTAGCTGGGCACAGGTCTCACATAATCATTGCAACCAATACTCAAGCATCCTGTGATCATTTGAAAACATGCCTGTTAAATGAATACTGTTCATGTCACTCATGAATGGAAGGTAGAAAATGACTATAAAAATTCATGTGTTTCTAGCATTTGTTTACATGGCTTTTAAATACAAAATTTTAGAAGCAATCTAAATATGTCACCTACTTTAACTTAATAAAAGTCATAATAGTATAGAATTCTCTTGTATCTATCTACTAAATCAAATTATTGCATGCATTTTGAACTTCATTTACTTAATGAAATATTTAGGTTTTTTTAATTGTAAAAATAGAGGAAGTTATAGGAAACTTGGAAACATTGTAAAAATATGATAGGTGTGGTAGATTGGATTATGGTCCCCCAAAGATGTTCATATCCTAATGTCCGGGCTCTGTGAATATGTTATCTTACATGTTAAAAGGGACTTTGCAGATGTGATTAAATTAATACATTGACATGAGAGAATTATCCTGGGGTATTCAGGTGGGCCCAATATAATCACAAGTGTCCTTATAAGAGGGAGATGAGAGGATCAGAGTCATTGACAGGAGATGTGGTGGCAGAGCAAGAGGTTGAAATGACACCACGAAGAGATCATGGACCAGGAATGCAGCTGACCTCTAGAAGCTGGGAAAGTCAAGGAAACAGATTCTCTCCTTAGAGCCTCCAGAAGGAAATAACCCTGCCGACATTTTGACTTTAGCCCAGTGACACTAATTTTAGACTTTTGACCTCCAGGACTATCAGATAATAAATTATGTTGCTATAAACCACTAAGTTTGTGGCAATTTGTTACATGAGCAATAGAAAACTAATATGACCATGGATTATTAGGGGAGAGATAAAATAGATTTCAAGAAAGAAAACTCTGCTGTGATGGATATGGGAACACTGAGGAAAGAGAAGAAAGATTGGGTCTAAGAAGAGAAAAATGCCATGCCAATCAAACAGAAGAGAATGTAAGAAGCAACAAGTTATCATCCAAGAGAAATGAATTATGCAGTACTAAAGTAAACACTGCACTCCACAGGGACACCTCTCATTCTGTTCCTTTTTTCTTGGAAGTTCCTGCATGATGAACCTTTTAGAAAACCATCAATAAGTCCCAGGGACTGACTCTTGAGAGGATCTTCATATACCTTCTAAAACCTACATTTAGTCATAGAAAACTAATGATATTTATCAACAACATTGTGTATTAAAGAGCTTGACCACTGGGCACAGTAAGTGTGCCTGAGAAGAGGAGAACTACTAATTGTGCTTATGGTTTTGTTCTTAGATATACCTCATGTATGAATAAATAAAATGTATTAACAGTTTACTAAGAGTTAACTTTTAGATAGCACCTTAGCAAAATTGCAGGCCCTGTTCTAAGTGCTTTTTCTGTGTTAACACAGTTGATCCTCGCAATGACCCTATGGGAAAGGTACTGTTTTATTATTCTCGTTTTACAGGTGAGAAAACTGAGAAAAGAGGAGTTAAATGACTTGCCAAAAGGTTACTCAAGTAGTCATTGGCAGAGACCATCTGGCACCTGAATTTGTACTCTTAAGCAATAGTTAAACTGCCTTTGCTATTAAGTTCTTCTAGAATGGCATATGGTATGCTGGGTACAACTAGATTATCATATAATGCAGTTGGGTATTACAATAAAATAATATACAGAGTTCCCTTGGAGCAGGGAGAAAGGGGGAAGCTAGCTGTGATTGGCGTCTGAAATGGTAGGAAAAGCTCCATAGATCAGGTTTTGTGTTTGCAGGGACTGAGAAAGTGAGTAAGAGATCACTAAAGTGCACAAGAAATGGACATTTCAAGTCACAGGAATGGCATTAATACAGATATTAAAAGCCTAAAATATTATAATATGTTTGGGCAACAGCAAGGATTTTGATGTGGTTAAAGCTTAGGGCACATAGTGGGAAGTGGTGGGAGATGAGGCTGGAATAGTTGAAAGTGACTTAACAAGACATCTTAGACCAACTTTCTGCATTTCCTATTTTCTCCATCCAATACGGTATTTGAAATGTGGCCAGTGTAACTGTAGAGCTGAATTGTAAATTTATTTAATTTTAATTAGTATAAAAATTTTAAATAGCCACATGTAGAACAGTAGCTGCTACATTAGACAGCAGAGTTGTGTATGAATCTAAAATGTTTGAATTTCATGCAACACGGGGAACTTATGATGGGTTGGAAAATGGGGAGCGACATGATTATATCTGTCTTTTGGAAAAATAGCATTAGGGAATGGACTGTCTTTACTGGAGAGAAATTTACAACTGTATGCAAGGCCATGCTTGTAGTTCACTTTTAGCAGTTCCAAGGCTCAGGGGAACCATGCATTAAACCATCAGTGCTGTTGCTTTAGTCACAGCTAACTGAGATGGTGTAGGTGTCTGTCCTTTTATGGCTAGCCAGAGACCCAAGAGATGGCCCCGTGCAAGACCTCTTCCCACAGAAACTCAGTATGGGATGGTGGCTAACTGACTCAGCAGATCTCTCTCAGGGGATTTAAACTGAAACATATAGAGACTATGATAAACTGGTAGCATGGCAGAAAGAAGCAGGTAGAGAATCAAGGTTAGAGAGCTGAGTCATGAGCATGCGAGACTCAGAGCTGTCCTTGGGTCCCCAGATTTGTGCCAACTAGTGTTGGTTTTGCAAAGTAATGAGCAGCTTGTATATTTAAGATCTAAGAAAGGCTGCTGAGACAATATTCTGTCTTCCTAACCACCCCTAAATCTTTATACTAAACCCTCTGGGATGTGAAGGTTAATTCTAGCAGGCCTGAAGCTAGCCTGAGTTGTTCTGCTGAAATGTGAAATGAGCCTGCACAGCCCTGATCTGAAACATACTGATTGGTCGCATGGCTTTGTAACCAAGCACCCCAAGAGTTTCAGGTTGATTTTTACCAGCTAATCATTATTGTTTATTGATAACAGTGAGACTGACGATTTGTGTCTGCTGAAACCCCAGGAGGCAGGGTCACGTAGCAGGATATGTCTATGGGATCAGCAGGGAATAAGATACTGCAGCTGAAACTCCATTTGGGTGTTTCATTCACAAGTCAGTGGTTCTTGGCCTGAGGGAGAAAGTGGATCCTGAGAAGAACCTTGTGGAGAAAGGACAGTTGGAACTTGCCCTTGGCTCCGGCTTTTTGCTATGAGACAGCCCCTAGCTGTGATGCTTATCTCTACTTTAATGCAGTTGTTACATTTTATCTTTTTCTTGTGATAAACTGTAGACTTCGAAGTATCATCATTTTGGATTCTTTGGGTCTGCTCTGCTTAACTGTGCTGCCGTTAGCTGAGGTTTCCAGATCTTATCACTGATCCGTACAACCTGAAAGAGCCTAACTGACTGAGCAGGGGTTAGAGTTGAACTGGAAAGAGACCAGTTAACAGGTGATGAAAACAGTGTTTTCTCAGGATGATGAGGGCCTGAATTAGGCAGTGGTGGGAATCAAGTGGAAGGGAGACTGAATTAGGAGGTAGAATTGATAGTAATAGTTGAGTGATGAACTAAATTGGATGTAGTTTAAAGCAGTGGGGAGAAGGTGAGGCAGGAGGCAATGGTGATGGGGGTTCCAACCTTGGGCAATAAGTTTAGCTATGATAATTATTATTTGAGCAATCTCTGTAAAATGCAGAGAAATCTTCCCTTGTTTTAAGAAAGCAGTGAGAGGGCCAGGCAGGGTGGCTGACCCCTGTAATCCCAGCACTTTGGGAGGCCAAGGCAGGCGGATCACCTGAGGTCAGGGGTACAAGACAAGCCTGTCCAACATGGTGAAATGCCGTCTGTACTAAAAATACAAAAACATTAGCTGGGTGTGGTGGCAGATGCCTGTAATCCCAGCTACTCGGGAGGCTGAAGCAGGAGAATCACTTGAACCCGGAGGCGGAGGTTGCAGTGAGCCCAGATCGTGCCACAGCACTCCAGCCTGGGCAACAAGAGCAAGACTCTGTCTCAAAGAAAAAAAAAAAATCAGTGAGTGTTCCGGGTGAATTGAAGAGAATACTTTAGTCTTTCAAGAAAATCAGATTTATAAACCAGATAAACCAGACTTTAGGTAAGCAATAAATACCCCTTATGCATGCACACTTGTTTATGATTATTATTCCTTCATTTAATCAACAAACATTAAATGTTACTATATGGATCATATATGTATATGTCTGAGTAAATATCTATACGAGTCAAGAATTGTGCTATGTGTTAGTATAAAAACAAATGTGAAGGCCTGGTCTCTGATCTCAAGGGGCTTATGATGTAATACCATTAAGTATTTGGTGATGAAGAGACATGAATAAAGAGAATTAACTAAATTGAGGAAAATTATGAAATAATCTGAGTTTAAAAGTAAGATTTTAATTACAAAAATTGGCCATTCTTATTTTTTCAATGGGAGAAAAAAAATTCTTACTTCTAATCCCCATGGAATGGTTTATTTCAGACTGCAGCCAGGAGAATTACACTATATTTGCAGTGTGGCTCATGATTGTCTCCAGAAAATGTGGACCCATAACACCCTGAGGAGCTGGGGTTGCTGGGGCTGCCAAGTTGCTATTTTGGTAGAGGAAATGAGGCAGGAAAGTTGCAGAATTGTTCACTATTAAGGGGAAATGTGGAAGACATTAAGAAGATGACAGAGTGGATGAATGGTTCTTCTTCTTCTTGACCATCTAATCATTGTCCTCTCAGACTTTAAAACTCTGCATCAAAATCACCTCCCAGGTTCTTCCTTCTCTCCAGTATGTGATGTCTGGCATTGAAAATTTCTGTGTATGACTTTATCATGGTGTGTTATAGCTATTTAATTCAATGTCTGTCCCTCCAAACAAATTGTAAATTCTTGGTGAGCAAGACTGGGTCTCATTAATTTTCCTTTCCCTTGGGATAGAAGCAATACTAAGAGAATTATGGGTACTTAATGCTTGTTAAATGAAGAAATGATTGAAAGAAGACAAATGAGAATAAGAAGGATAAGTTGGTAAATCCATTACGGAGGGCAGTTTGGCAAGATTTGCTCTACCAAAGTTAAAATGTGCAAACACATGGGCCCAGCAATTACATTTTTAAGAATTTATCCTACAGATTCACACATGTGCCAGCTGATTTATGTACAGTGTTATTGATGGCAGCATTGTTAGCAGAAGTTTGAAAATAATGGAAATGCCCATCAACAGTGGATTGATGACATAGATTATGGACTATCCATGTCATGGAATACCAAGCAACTGTGAAGAATCAATATAGCAAGATCTTCAGAATATAATCTTAAAGGAAATAAGCAATATTCAGAACAGTATAATATATCCATATCTTACATTTGCTTGTATATGCATAAATGTCTCTGGAAAGACCCAGAAGAAACTAATAACTGCTTTTTTTGTTGGAGAGAAAGGTTTGGAGGAAAAGGAAGACTTTTCATTTATTCCATTTTATACTTTTTAGTTTCCAAACAATGTTATATATTACTGGGTTCAAAATATAGCATAAATATACAAAAAAGAAAACTGCACACGCATGTTTATACCAGCTTTATTTATAATTGCCGAAACTTGGCAGCAACAAAGATGTCCTTCAGTAGGTGAAGTGAATAAATAAATAAACTGTGGTACATCCAGACAAAGGGATATTATTATTACTGTTATTTTATTTTATTTTTTTTTTAAGTCAGGATCTTAGTGTGTTGCCCAGGCTGGTCTTGAACTTCTGGCCTCAAGCAATCCTACCACCTCAGCTTCCCAAAGTGCTGGGATTATGGGTGTGACCTACCATGCCTGGCCTTGGAATATTATTTAACACTCAAAAGAAATGAACTATTAAGCCATGGAGAAAACTTAAATGGAAAGACATGACGAAAACTTCAATGCATATTACTATGTAAAAGAAGCCAGTCTGGAAAATGCTACATACTACATGATTCCAACAATACGACATTCTGCGAAAGGCAAAACTATGGAGACAGTAAAAAGAACAGCGGTTAACAGGGGCTGCAGGGAGGGAGGTATGACTAGGCAGCACACAAAGGATTTTTTAGGGCAGCAAAACTACTCTGTGTGGTACTATAATGGTGGATACATGTCATTAGGCATTTCTCCAAACTCAAAGAATATACAAAACCAAGAATGAACCCTGATGTAAACTATGGACTTCGGGTGTTAGTGATGCATCCATGCAGGTTCATTAATTGTAACAAATGTCCCACTGTGATGTGGGATGTTGGTAATGGGGACACTGAGGGTATACATGAACTCTTTGTTGTTTATTCTGAATTTTGCTGTGAACCTAAACTCAAAAAAACGGTGCTCATTTTGGCTGGTTGTTTCTTTGGATATAACACATAGACAAAGCAATGTGATGTTGCAACATCTAATTTTATGAGACAGGGTCAGAAAACATTCCCCCATTCAAGACCTGTGGTGGATATTGCTAATTAACCATGGACATTCCCTTGTTGAGTCCCTACTTGCTTACAAACCTCAACATATTCCTCCAGGAAGCCATCACCAATCAATTGGCATTTGTACCTGAGATAAAACCCATTTGGCATTTCAGCTTCTGAGCTTACAGTTCTAGAGAGATCTTAAGAACTCCAACACTGAAAGTGAATAGGTGTGGTGAAGCCAAGTTATTCCAAGCATGCCCAAGTCTTCCCAGTTAAACACCTGAGTGAAACTAATGCTCAGGCTATTTGGCTACCTCCACACCCGAAAACGTTCTTGATTCAACCTCTTCACATTTGAGATTTTAAATTTTAGGCAGTCATGTCTGCTCAGCATGAAGAGGTCTGAATTTTGCTCAATGGTTTAGAATTAGTCCCTTTTTATACTAGAGATTTGATTCTAAATGAAAAAACACTGGTTTGGCTTAGCAGTGTGGATGGTCTGATGTATAAAGTAAGAGAAACCCTTAATTGCATGCAGAAATAATTGCTTGGAAGCTCAAAATCCATAACTTGAGTAGCTGCACTTTACTTCATTATAAGATAAAAACTTATCTTTCTGGTTCTGTGTTTCATGAAGTAATATATTTCAACATTCTGTAATGTAAATTACAACTTATCCCTACAAGGGAGCTCTTAAACTGTTTTCTTTCTTTTTGGCTAAGTTCTAAGGCTGAAGATTGCTTCTAGTTTATCTTTTGAGTTAAGTCACGTCTTTGTTTTTCAGCTTTATCATTTGTAATATTAATATTCAAACCAAGATTTTTGGGCATCACAGAAACTTAAAGCATATTTTAAAAATATTTTGCATGTATAAAATTCCATAAAAAAGCTGAGTAGACACGTATATATGTTTTACTTTGAAAGAACATTTTCCATTTTAGATTTTCAAATTCCTCAGCCCAGAATAAGGGAACATCAGGGAACATACAGGAAGTGGTCTCCCAGTCACAATGACCACATACTGCAATTGCCTTGCTCTTCAGTCTGGGTTTCTGCTTCTTGTTACAGTCATTTCAGTGGGCGTCACTCAGCTGCATTGTAGTTTTCAGGAGCAGTTGTTCAGGGGGGATTTGGTTCATTGCTGGTGTGACATATGAATGACGATCACCCAGGAAGTTCTGATGACGTGGCTTCTCTCAACAATGTTTGCTAAGCTTCTTTAAAGCCTCTTTGGCTCTTAGGGAAGGTGTGTTTCAAAACCTGTAACAGGAGTCCCCGCCTAGAATGGCTCTTCAGTGTTACTCCTTCCTCCCAGCGGAAGCAGCCTTTGTTTTTTGTTGGGTTTTTTTTGTTTTTTTTGTCTGTTTGTTTTGTTTTTTGAGATAGGGTCTCACTCTGTCACCCATACTGGAATGCGGTGGTGTGATCACAGCTCACTGTGGCTTGGTCCTCCCATGCTCAAGAGACTCTCTTTGCCTCAGCCTCCTGAGTAACTGGGACCAAAGACATGCACTACCACACCCAGCTGATTTTTTTATTTTTAGTAGAGATGAGATCTTCTCTTACTGTGTTGCCCAGTTTGTCTCGAACTTCTTGGCTCAAGTGATCCTCCCACCTTGGCCTCCCAAAGTGCAAGTGAAAGCCACTGCAACTGGCCAGAAGCAGCCTTTGATGTTGGGTCTACTGCTGCCCTCAGCATTGAAAGAAGTTTCAACCATCCTTTTCACATTTTTTTTTTTTTTCTGAGACAGTCTCACTCTGTTGCCTAGGCTAGAGTGCAGTGGTGTGATCTTGGCTCACTGTAACCTCCACTTCCCTGGTTCAAGTGATTCTCCTGCCTCCTCCTGCCAGAGTGGATGAATGGTTCTTCTTCTTCTTGACCATCTAATCATTGTCCACTCAGACTTTAAAACTCTGCATCAACATCACCTTCCAGGTTCTTCCTTCTCTCCACTATGCGATGCCTGGCATTGAAAATTTCTGTATATGACTTTATCATGGTGTGTTATAGTTATTTAATATAGCTGGGGTTACAGGTGTGTGCCATCACGCCCAGCTAATTTTTATATTTTTAGTAGAGATCAGGTTTTACCATGTTGGCCAGGCTGATCTTGAACTGCTGACCTCAGGTGATCCGCCTGCTTCCACCGCCCAAAGTCCTGGGATTACAGATGTGAGCCACCACGCCTGGCCCCTTTTCACATTTTTTTATACATGGATAAATAAGATAGAGATTAGAATTCTTACATGCTAGGTGTATTTTCCCTCTGATAGTTTTACAAAATAGTCTAGGTGTAGAATGTGTGGAACAGACTTCTTTTGTGTTTTCTAATCCTAGGGTTCCTGGGTTTCTGAGAATTTGTTTGTCTTGAAGATTCCTTTAAGCCATATACTCCTTGCATGCTTGTCTGTGCCCCTGCCTTCCAGGTACTATGGGTGTATGGGGGTTCCTTCTATCTTGAGTTTTCAATTTTATTTTTTGAAAGAGAATACAAAATAGGTTGGGTCCTATGCCACCTTGTCAGTGATATGGTTGTGCATACTGTTGATATCAGTTAAAAGGGTGATCACAGGAGCATATATATATATATGTTTTTTTTTTTTTTGCATAAGGCCATAAGTTAAACAAAGAATTCAAACAAAGACAGTAGGTATATGAGTGAGAATGCTTTAATTGAACTGGTATTTGTACAAGGTGACACCCTGTTGCATACCACACACCTCCTCCCTGAGTGACTCAGCCGCTGAGCAAGAAACCTCTGAACTGTTCACTAATACAGTCAGGTAGAGGTTGAGACTCCACTGAATAAACTCTAGGTTCCCATTTCTTTCAGCCAGATCCTCCCAGGGAATCACTACAGGCTGGTTAGCCAAAAAGTCCTGATTTTCTGCTCAATAGAGGTAAGTTGAATTATACTTGCAAACAGAAATACATCTGCTGTATGTGCACAGCTTTCTCTGTGTTCCTTACAAATGATTAAAATTAGAACTTACTGTATTATCTTTGTCTTTTCTTCCTGTAAATTTTGACAGCCTCCAGCTGGCTGTTAGCTCTGCTCTTCCTTGCTGTACTTTTAGGTCACATTGCATTGAACTTCTTGGCAATTTTACACGTTATGGGCATCACAGAAACGAGCACCTATTTGATTTTCTGGGTGGGAGCTGTCAGCTGGTGAATCCTGCCACACAAAGGATAATAAATTCTTTAAGTGAAGGGACCAGCACCTGCTGGTTTATTTTCTCAAGCGACTATACAAACATTTTTTAAAGGATCTTTCTGTTTTCATAAATGATGCTTTTAGTGAAATAGTGAACTCAAATATTGCTTTATAGTTAATAAGTCATATTTATTTTTTTCTCTACTGCTAAAAATATTGCAAGTTGCTGAGCTATGAGAGAGAGAGAGGTTTATATTTATGAGGTTTTTGTCTCCACCCTATCTTCCCCAAATAAGAAAATCACCATTTCTCACTTGAAAGTACCAAGGAGTAAAGGCAGGGTGTGGGAGCAGAATAAGGGTACATGGTTCCTCACAGGGATCTGTGGGCATCTGGCCAACTTCTCTATGGTATATTCTGCATTCTAACCTAAGGAGTGATTAATGTATATGGGGGCAATTTTCAAACTTTATTCATAGCCTAGTCCTGAAAAACCAGTTTTGGGAGACTTTTGATAAGGCTAGAAGAGTTCTTTTAACAGAGCTTTCTTTTATAATTAATAGCTAAGCTGACTTGTGTTTTTTCTCATCATTTCTATTTATGATACAGAGCTGTGGGATTCAAATGCAGGGGCCACTCACAGCTTGCAAATTGCAGCTCTGTGTCCTCCAGAGAGGTGCCCCCACAGCATACCTGGCTCTATCTGTAGTACTTGAGTTCTCATGGCTTCCTATTGCTGACAAGGTCACCTGCAGTCTGAGAGGGGGTTAGACACACCAGTGCTCATTTCCCAAAGGTTTACAGAAGAATTTTACAACTTGGCTTTCAAGTGTTTATAGTAACCAGAAAACTAAAGTGTAGCAAGTGTGGATAATTTTATTTTTCATAAAATGTGATTACATTTAAAACTGTCTTTCACTTCCATAGTTTATAACGTAGATAAAGCCTTCCTAATATATGTGGTGCTCCAGTGTTTAAAGTATTGGAAACATCAATTTGAGAAAACTGAGAAATGACAACAGTAAAAATTTTAGTAAAACATTCAGATGATCCTAAATGTCGGGATATGCATAGAATGCCAACAACAGGCCAGAATTTTTATTGGAATGTTAGCGTCGTATAAATCTTAGATCTAATTGACAGAATATTTCAACTGAAACGGAGCATAGGCCCATCTAGTCTAATGCCTGAATTTTCTAGTTGAGAAAATCAAAGCATAAATGTTAAGCAACTTGTGAAGATCAGAGTAGCAGAACCAGAGCACGATGCCAGATTGCTTGTCTTTTGTCTTACTGAATTTTCTCAATATTTTTTCAAATGCTTTTTATCATAAAATATGTAGTAGCAATAAATGAGCCACACTCCATCACAGACTGTGGTTACCCAGCACATGTGGAAATATTATAGTGTGTATGGTATGACTAAGACATAATAGAATACGTTTTCCAACTTGTGGCTTATGGAATCAGTGTTGCCGTTTATTATATTTATGAGATTTTCATCTCAGGAGCCAGTAGCCCCTCAGCAGGGAGGGGATCTGATGTATGTGTGTTAGCTGTGGTCTGTACAATCAGAACACCCTTGCCTCGAATGCCATTCTGTAGGTGATGCTTACCTGACTGCCTTCTCAGACTACCAGAATTATGATGAAATACCTGAGAGGTTCATATTCCTGGGGACTATGTAAACAAAACAAATTTTGAATGACTGAGCTCATACTGTGGAATGAACTGAACACAATTCACGAAGCCGTCAAATTAAGCAAACATTGTTTAACTGAGAGTATCTTATACGGTTCAGGCATCAACTCCCAGCATTTCTTAAGAGTGAGGGGATAAAATCTTTGGCCTTGCAGTCCAAGGGAAATCTTTATTGGTTCCATATGGCTTCGCTTTCTGTCATTGTCCTGCTTCTAGACCATTTGTTGATCATTTTCCATTTTCTTTGGCTGGGTACTTTGAAATAAAGATTTTAGGTATTAATTGCTGCATACATAGCTGGAGTTGTTCAAAGCTCACTTCTGAATCAAAAGTCTTTTTTTTTTTTTTTTTTTTAAATGGAGTCTCGCTCTTTTCCCCAGTCTGGAGTGCGATGGCACAATCTCGGGTTACTGCAGCCTCCGCCTCCCATGTTCCAGCGATTCTCCTGCCTCAGCTTCCTGAGTAGCTGGGAGTACACGTGTGCACCACCACACCCGACTAATTTTTCTATTTTTAGTATAGACGGGGTTTCACCATGTTGGCCAGGCTGGTCTTGAACTCCTGACCTCAAGTGATGTACCCGCCTTGGTCTCCCAAAGTGCTGGGATTACAGGCATAGCCAATGCGCCCGGCCTTAATCAAAAGTCTTTATCAGTTATATTCCTTAAGTGTTTCCAGCTTACCATTGTACAAATGGTAAACTGTGATTTTTTTCCATGAACTTGTGATTTTGAAGCTCGGGAGAAGCTCTTCCTCACATGGATGCTTTGCCAAATGACAGCTACACGTACTAGACTTTCATTTCATGTCGATTACTAAATTTTTTAAGGACATGAGTCATCCTTTTATTGTGATACTTAATTGGAACAGTGAATTTTATAGCTACCTATTCAATGACAACTGGTTTACTTCTAGATACAAGAACTGATCATCCTGAATCCTCCTTGTAATAGTATACTTGATAGCTCTAAAAATCTGAATAATTTATTCTTTGTCTGTAGACCCAAGTTTCCCTGACTCTAAAATGTGATTACGTATCCTTCATATGAAGCCTCCTGGGGAAAGACAGTGAACTATAAGCCATATTTTCCAAACTGAGATATATACATCCCAGGAGACTGTGTCAATGTTCTAGAAAATGCAATAAAATTATGAAATAAGCATGGCACATGTCTGTATGGAGAGCTAATTTTAGTTAAAAAGCTTTGGAGAAAACTATCCCTATTGCCCTGCCCTCTCCCCAGTTCTCCCCAGGGTTCCCTCTTTTGTCATTAGAGATGCTGTGTGTAAAAGTTTAAAAGAAATTTATATACAAATGCATGCAGTGAGCTGAAATCTAGATAGACTTGAATTTGAACCATGATTCCATGTGGACAAACGGTGACATGTATGAGTATGCCTAACTCACAGCACCAGCAGATAAAAAGAAAAATTAGGATTCTTGATGAATAATTAATAGACATATAAAATTATGTAATTATATATTATATACATATTTTATAATATACATAGCATATTACATAATGGGACATATATGTATAAAATATGACTCACAATAGCACAAAAATATAAAAATCTAGAAAAAATCTCTACAAGAAAAATTTAAAATCTAGATTTAAAAAATAACAACATTTTATAGTAAGACATAAAGGTGAAAGCGGACCTTAAATGTCAGTTCTTCCCAAACTCTTTTTATAGAATCTATGCAATTTTAGTCAAAAGTTCCAATAGAATATTTATCTTGGAAACTTAGAAAATAATTTTTTTTTTTTTTGAGACAGAGTCTCGCTCTTTCACCCAGGCTGGACTGCAGTGGCTCTATCTCGGCTCACTGCAAGCTCCGCCTCCCGGGTTCACATCATTCTGCCTCAGCCTCCCGAATAGCTGGGACTACAGGCGCCCACCACCACGCCCAGCTGATTTTTTGTATTTTTAGTAGAGATGAGGTTTCACAGTGTTAGCCAGGATGGTCTCGATCTCCTGATCACGTGGTCTGCCCGCCTCTGCCTCCCAAAGTGCTGGGATTACAGGCGTGAGCCACTGCGCCTGGCTGAAACTTAGACAATAATTTTAAAGTTATCTGAAAGAAAGGAATAAATGAGAATAGCTGATAGAATTTCTAAAAAGGAAGTTAATGAAGGGTGCTGTGCTACTAGATATTAAAAATGTATGTATCAGAAAAACACAATAATAAAAGTAGCTTGTTTTTATTGTAAGAAACTAAAGACAGTTTTCTTGAGGAAAACGGATAGCCACAAAGCACATTTAAGAATATGTAAGAATTTAAAGTGTGACAAAGGACGTATCATATATCAACGAGAAAGGGATTTATTCTCCCATTACCAAAGTAAATCCACATGGATTAGAGAGATTACATAAAACAACAAAATATATTGTAAAAATTAAAAGAAAAATAAATATTTAGTTAACCTCATGTTTGTTCAACAAATATTCCTCTAGAACTGATTATGTACCAGGTACTGTGATAAGTTTTGAAAATCAGCTGTGGAGAAGATGGGCTTGGCCACTGCTCTTAAGATGTACAATGTGTGAATGTGTGCGGGTGTGAGTATGTGTGTATACTTGTGGGTTGGGGGTGGGGGAAGATTATTCAGCCATACACACAGTCTTAGGTGATGTTATGGAAACTCTTTGCTATTTGAACACATAGTAGGGCTCATAACTCAGCCTGGGGAGGAAGGAGTGGGGCAAGTGGCGATGGTATCACAGAGTGATTCCTGGAGGATATAGAATGTGTGATCTGGAAGGTGAATGGAAGTCTTTCCTGAAGGAAAATGAGGGGTTGAGGGAAGTTCAGGAAGAAGAGTGTTTCAGGCATAGATAGAATAAGCAATAGCTCACAGGTGATGAAAAGGATGGAGCCCCAGGCACTGGAAGGAGTTGCTGTGGCTGAAGCCAGAGTGTGAGTGGGAAGTGGGGAGTTGGGGGAAATGAGGCTGGAGGGTATGGCCTTGTCAGCCTTGTTATCAGTTCGATTTTATCCTGACAGAAAGGGAACACCCTTGAACGACTTTAAGTAGGTGATGACTACTTTGGCACCAGTGAGGAGGAGAGTGGATTAAGTGAGGAAGTCTGGAGATTGAGAATGTAGCTGGGAAGCCGTTGGAATAGTCAGGAGATTATGGTAGTTTGAATTGGTGTCTTGCAAATAGAAAGATACACAAGAGATGTTGAATTATAGGACTTGACGATTGCTTGGATTTCAAGGTCAGAAAGAAGATTGATGGATGGTCTACAAAGATGGCTTTTAAAGAGTGAAAGTGGAAGAAATTATAAAGGGAAAAATAGGGAATGCAAAATCAAAAGCTTCTGATACAAAATTTATAATTAGAAGCTAAATGAAAAACTAGTAAAGATGAATGTTCCTGACATATAAAGAAAATGAGAAATCAGTAAGAAATATATAATAATTGTCAATGGATAATTTATAAAATAAGAAAGAAAATGCCCTGTAAAGTGAAGAAAAATATGCGAGTAAAACAAAATGATTCTACTTTCACCTATTATATTATTAAAAAGATTAATGAATGATAATTCTAAATGCTGGCAAATGAGTGAACACTCATATGTTGCTGGTGGATGATAAACTACTATAAGATTTACGGAAAGAAACTCGACAATAGGGATCAAGAATATTTTAGAAATTATACATCTTGGCAAGTAATTTCACTTCTCGGATTCATTCAAAGAAAATAATCAGATACTTGGTGAAAGACTTTTGTATGGTTTTTTAGAAACAACAGAGGAATGATGTTACATTGATAAATAAAATGAGATATTTTGTAGCTGCAAAATAAATATTTAAATATTCTTAAATGGCATTGGAAAATGCATATCAGTAGGCTCTAAATGGGCAAAGAAAAACCCTGGAAGAAAATTACAGTGATTGATTAAAGGTGTCTGATTTTTTTTTCCTTTCTTTATGCTTTCTTGTATTTTCCACATTTTATATATGCTTTCTTGTATTTCCACATATGTTCTAAATATAGTGAGAAAGATTTATGTTGTGTAAAATTGGGATACAGAACAGCTACATGACAGAGCTTTTGTGAATATGAAATACAGTAAAGTATTTAAGATAACTAACAGGGTTTTGGCTCATAGTCTGTGGTCAAAATTTGAGTTTTTACTCATTTAACTTGTATTTTCAGCTAGAACTGAAAATAGCCCCTGATGGGGCTCAGGTGATAGATAACTTTTATTGGATAGCTTTTTTATTAATGAATATTAGACCAGTGTTTTTTGTAAAATGAAATAATTATAGGCCACTATTCATGTTAAAGCTTGCTGTTATCATTCTGCAGAAAAGATGGGCTGTAAGAAAAAGAGCTGGTGAGGGTTGTGTATTAAAAACCAGAATCAGGCCGAGGCAGGCGGATCACGAGGTCAGGAGTTAGAGACCAGCCTGACCAACATGGTGAAACCCCGTCTCTACTAAAAATACAAAAATTAGAGAGGCATGGTGGTGCGTGCCTGTAATCCCAGCTACTCAGGAGGCTGAGGCAGGAGAATAGCTTGAACCCGGGAGGTGGAGGTTGCAGTGGCCGAGATCACGCCATTGCACTCCAGCCTGGGCTACAGAGCAAGATTCCGTCTCAACAAACAAACAAACAAACAAACCCCAGAATCAACAGTGAGAAAATTGTATGGTAGGGGCTTTCATTTGTGCTACATTCTGGACTCTTGTTTCACCAGCAGTAAACAAGTTTCCCAATGCTAAGCTTAGATTGTGAGGTTGTGTGACTGAAGAAATAGCTGCTTTCTAACCATCACAGAAGGCTAAATGAATCTTTCCCAGCCTGATGATTTTTGGATTTCCTTTTAGGCTGTGTATTCAGGCTAAACACAGTTGTTTGTTTCTGAGAGACTATTTAAAAATGGATTTAAATAGACTTGTTAATATTTACACTTCATGAAGTACTGTTTGTTTTCCCCTTACATATATTTCTTGTACTTTTAGGTGGTAATTAGTTGTTTGATGGTTTGTTTTATTTATCTTCCAAAAGATAATTCTTCTGTTTATTGATCTGTAATTATAGAGCCCCTCTTATTCTTCTACTGAAAATGGTTTTATGGCATTTGTCCTTTTCCAGTTCCTAGGGATTTTCCCTGTTTCATTGATTTCCGGGAAACAAGTAGTGGTGGGGTTGGCACTGTTACCGCACCCTGAAACCCTCAGGACTTTTTCAGAAGCAAAAGTGAATACCACCAGGGCAATTTGCCACCCTGTGTCATTTTCTAGACCCCTTTTCTGTATTTGTTTATTTATTCTACTTTAGCTTTTTTTTTTTTTTTTTTTGAGACGGAGTCTCGCTCTGTTGCCCAGGCTGGAGTGCAGTGGCGGGATCTCGGCTCACTGCAAGCTCCGCCTCCCGGGTTCACGCCATTCTCCTGCCTCAGCCTCCCAAGTAGCTGGGACTACAGGCGCCCACCACCACGCCCGGCTAATTTTTTGTATTTTTAGTAGAGACGGGGTTTCACCGTTTTAGCCGGGATGGTCTCGATCTCCTGACCTCGTGATCCGCCCGCCTCGGCCTCCCAAAGTGCTGGGACTACAGGCGTGAGCCACCGCGCCCGGCCAACTTTAGCTTTTTTATATTCTCCATCACTAAAGAGATTTGCCCTGGGCAACTATTGACATTTGGTCTTTTATAAAGATAGTAATTTATAAAAATATATTAGAAGCTTGATAAATTGATTGAAAGATTTTGGGGTAGTTAAAATATCCAAATGTCACTCTATGTAAATCTCATGATACTTTGGTAAAATGATCAAAGAAAGTCTGCTCCAATTCTTCTCTGTTGAGCTCCACCATGGATCTCCATTGTTGCCATCTTTATGTCCATGAGTACCCAATGTTTAGTTCCCACTTATAAGGGGAAACACTTGGTATTTGGTTTTCTGTTTCTGCATTAATTCGCTTAGGATAATGACCTCCAGCTGCATCCATGTTGCTGCAAAGAACATGATTTCGTTCTTTTTTTATTTACCACTTTTTAGTCGAGTAAATTTCTTCCTGTTGACTCCTTTTTGTTTCCCGGGCTTCTGAGATAGGTACTGTGCGTCAGGCTGATTTGAGTTTGAATCCCAACTGGGCGATTCACTAGTTATGTAACCTCAGGCAAACTACTCATCTTGAGACTCCTTCCAGAAAAGAAATCTGCCTACATTTCGACCACTGCCCACATTTCCAACTCCTGCCCTATCCTTCCGCAAGAAGACTCTGACTTCACTGAAACCATTCATCATTAAGTTTCATTAAAGAACAAGTATAATAATAGTAACAACCTAAAGGCATGTAAGGCTTAAATGAGACAACACCTATAAAATATAAGCTCAAAATAGTTATTATTATTGTAGGACCCCAAATCTCAGCAGTCAGAATTGAAGTCCTTGTTTTTTTCTCTTTTCTTCCATCATCCTTTATTGTGTTAATTTACTTTCTGCTGCACATCTTTTTTTCTTTTCTGCCTTATTTCTCCTTTTCTCTTTCCTCTATGAGCCCTTCTTTAACCAATTTTAGTTTCTTTGTTCACACAATCTTTCTTAAGAGAAAGTTAGCAGGGAGTGGTAAAGACTTCGTGAGGTAAGCCAAGAGGCATTATGTCCTTGGGTGGGAAGGGAAGAGTGAGATTTTTAAAGTCTTTATGCTGAGAGGACCCAAAAGATGATGAAGATTCTAGCTGAGCTGGGAACTGGCCCAGGAAATTCTTGGCACTGGGACAGGAAGAGCTGGGGCTGAGATCAGGCTGGGGGACTGAAGTGAAAGTTGGCTCAGGGAATTCTTGGCATTGGGACAAGAGGAGCTGGGGCTCAGATTGGGCTGGTGGGAGGAGTGGCAATTGGGTCACCTAATGGACCTAAATGCTCCCAGAGGAAGTGCTGTTATTAGAGATAGAAAATACTGAAGGAAATTGAGTAAGGGCATGGGGAGATGAGGAGAAGCTGAAAAGAAGACAAAAGTAAGAAATAGGAGATGCTGATAGTTTCAAATGCATACAAAAAGAGCTACGAAAGTTGATTGATTTCATGATTCAGAACTTTAGCAGAGTGATTTCATGTAAAACCTAAAGACAAATGTCCTTGGGCAGAAGCAGTAGGCAGCAGATAAAAACTAGCTCTTTCTGGTGTTTGGCCACAAAGAGGAAATGAAAGATGGGCCAATAATTGAAAATATTTTTTCCCTCTCTCCTCAGACTTTGACGTTATGATTTTACATCATAATTTTCAACACATGCATTCAGTGCTTCATAGGTAAAGGTTTTTCTACTTCCCAGCATAAGAGAGACAGCGTTCACACATCTTTTGTCATAATATTACACTTCTAAAACACAGTTGCTGGTGTCTGTAATCAGTAGGCATATGTACTGGCAACAGCCTTTTGAAAAGCCAAGATTAGAGTTTCATCTTTTTTGTGAGAAGCTAAAAACTTAATTGGAATGAAACTGAAACGTGGCACTTAGAAATAAATCCAGTTAGCTGAACTGAGGCTACCAAAGTGTCAATATGTGGGTGTTGAGTAGATTTGAAGCTCAGGATAACCTCAGTACCTGAAATAAGTAATTCCTTTAAAGAATTACAAAACAATAAAATTTGGCTGCATTTTTTTTAATACTACCAGTTTGAGAGACTAGTAATCCCTAATCCATTCCACAAAAGGGCATTTTTAACAAGGATATTATTCACAGAAACATATATTGTTGAACTATTTCTAAAAAGAAATATCCATGTATATATAAAGTACTGTTTTATATCCTGGGGAAGATGGAAAGAACACTACTGCAGTAAAATGTCTGCGGAAGTAGAGGTCGATGAGACAGGAATGTTTACACCTTAGAGGCTTTACATGGAAGCTTCTAGAAATGGCTCTGGGGCCACCCAAAGAGGGGGCATTAGGAGATGATTTGGGTGACATGGACAATGGGTCCTAAGAGAAGAAGAGAGCAGCGAGGCTGGAAGAGGTTGTGTGAAAGATGTAGGAGAGATGCCAAAAGGGAAAGAAAGACTCAAGAGCAGACTTTCTCTGGCTTGGGCCATCTGGCAGGGGCCTTCACTGATTTGGCAGCTTGCATCTTTGATAAGAAAAATTTAATTTCCCACAGTATTGCTCATTTATATTTCAGAAGAAAAACCCAGCATCCTTATGAAACTATTATCACCTGTAAATAGAATACATTATAGTTTCCTTTCTCAGTTAGCTTGATCAATGGCCAGCACTGGACTACGAGAGAAAATGAAACGTTATCAAGCTATCCAGTATGAGATAGATTCAGGGAAGGAGTCCAGTCAGGAACCATGTCAGGCCACTTCAGGCCACTTCTGGCTGCAGTGTGTTCATTGGGGAGTGAGTTTTGAGGCTGAGCTATCAGGAAATGTTGGGGCAGCCATTCATTCCTGCTGCTCCTCTCACCTGCTCTCCCATGATCATCAATCATCTGGGACTCCAGGCATTTCTCTGAGTGCCTGGTATGGGTCATATCACATGGCACTTTGAGTTACATGTAGTATCACTTACTGAAAAGAGCTCTGGTGTTGCAGTCACACAGACCTAACTGCAGTTTCTGATTCTTCCTCTAACTGTGTACTTTGGGCAGGTTATTTAAGCTCTCTGAGGTTTGGGATCCCATAATTATAGATAATAGTACTGGCCTGGAAGGATTAAATAAGATAATGTGCATAAAACATGTGGTACAGCCGGTGGTACTTGGTAGGGGCTTAACAAGTGATCCTTCTTGCTAGGAACATTTAACACATATGTTTTGTTGATAAAAGAATCACACATATCTTTTGTAGACTCCTGTCAACTTTTGGACCTTCTATTTGCTGCACGATGGCTTAGTGACATGGAGGAAGAGCATAAGGCTTGAGTAACAACAACAACAAAAAAAAAAAAAGGAAAAGAAATCTCTTAAACAAACGAGGCGGTTTATTTTTCTCTTGGAAGGAGAAGTTCAGAGGTAGATAATACAGGGCTATTGTGGCAACTCCATGACACTGTCAAGGAACCGGGTCCCTTCTAACTTCCTGCTCTGCTATTTTTCGTGTGTGAATTTAGTCCCTATGATTGCCCACAGTCACTAAGGTCCAAGAGGACTGCTCCTCCCTCCTGCAAGCCACCTTAGTTTCAGAAAAGAGTGGGGGAGCACAAAAGGACATATTCTTCCCAGGGACTTCCACTTCAATTGTAATAGTCAGAACTACAAATGTGTCACTGCTAGCTTCAGAGAGCCTGAGAAATGTGGCTTTAGATATCAGTAAGAAAGAAGGGGAGAATGGATATCAGATATGCAATCATTGTCTGCCATGAGTCCCTACTTGGAAATCTCCAGATCATCATGACTGGACCTTTCCTTATTGTCCTCTCCCATTGGAACATACCACACCCAGCCCCCCAAAAATTTAAGATAAATCTTAAACATTTTAAAAAATGTGAGTAACATTTGTAATTTAAAAGAGAGAGGCGTGGCATTCCGGAGGAATTCTTAAAGTAAAATTTAGATTTACCCTGAAATCTATAGTGATGATTACTAACTGCTTTAAGAATGAAAATTCTTTTTTTAAAATAAAAAAATTCATGATGTTTCACATATGAGACTAATTATATTTTCAGTAATTTACTGGTTGACAAAAAGGTATGATGGATTTGGTATAAAAATGCTTTGATGCTGAGTGCAGAAGGATTTGCAAGCAGACCCTATGCAATTAACTCAGTGCCACTGCCCTCCATCCCTCACTCTCTCATCCTCTGCCCATCTGGAAGTTTGCACCCAGGGTTAGGTACCATGCTGGGATGGCTGAGGTCTTGATCAACTCTCAGATCATCAGAAATTCCTGCAAAGAGCTCTGTAGAGGAAAACAGGTATCTCTTCATCATTTTATATTTAGGGATAGCTCCAATCAGACCCAACATTCTGCCATAGGGTCTGATATTTTCATGCCTTTGTTAGCTAGGTATTCTCCAGAAGGCCTGGTTAAATGAGAACAAGTGAAATAAGACATTTGAACAAGCTCATGGAACTTACCCTCTTTCTCTCTGTTAATGACTAGCCTCAGGTATCCTATAAACACCCCCACTGGCTTCATCCCAGAACCTCTGGGATGCTCCCTAGGAACAGTTTCCAGTAAACCCACTTTCTTTCCCTGGGACTTCCCAGTTGCCTCTTCCTTAGTATATAGCTCTCTGGCCAAAACCCCAGATGGTTGCTGTGTTTTAAATTTTCTTTGGTATTCTACCCATATCCCACCTCAGTCCTCCTCTGACCTAGGCTTCTGCTGCCCCTTTAGGGTCTGCTAGGAAGGGAGGAAAGTTCAAACAATAATAATACTTTATATGATTTTATAGGAATTTATAATTTACAAAGCATTATCTCATTTAATTTCCATAACAACCTTTTAAGATTGCTATAACTTCCTCTTTGCAGAGGCAGAAGCAGAGACTTAGTCCAAGTAGCTAATGAGTGACGAAGCTGGGGACACACACAATCTGGGGCTTTTTAGCCCAAGGGCTGTCAATCATTTTTCTGCCTATGCCACTGCTAACACATTAAGATGTCACCTGTTCAGGCATATTTTACTTCAGATTGGCTAGTAGAGAGAAAGATCCTGAGGCAAGGAGGGTCAGATGGTTTTTGACAGTTTGAGGGACATGGAAAGTTCTGGAGCATAAAGGGAAGCTAAGGATAAGATCTAATGGGGAAAAGAAGGGTGTTGACATTAAGATGGGCAGGAAGTCTGTATAAACATCAGCGTGCATCTTTAACTCTCTGATATGGTTTGTCTCTGTGTCCCCAACCAAATCTCACCTTGAGTTGTAAGAATTCCCACGTGTCGTGGGAGGGACCTGGTGGGAGGTAATTTAATCATGGAGGCACGGTTTTTTTCCATACTGTTCTCAAGATAGTGAATAAATCTCATGGGATCTGATGGCTTTATGAAGGGCAGTTCCCCTGCACATGCTCTCTTGTCTGCCCTCATGTAAGATGTGACTTTGCTTGTCATTTGCCTTCTGCCATCATTGTGAGGTCTCCCCAGACATGTGGAACTGTGATCCAATTAAACCTCTTTCCTTTATAAATTACCCAGTCTTGGGTATGTCTTTATGAGCAGGGTGTATAGTTCCATTGTGCATATATACCCTTTTTTCTTTATCCATTTGTCTGTTGATGGACACTTAGGTTGATTCAATATCTTTGTTATTGTGAATAGTGCTGCAATAAACATGTGATGCAGGTATCCCTTTAATATACTGATTTCTTTTCCTTGGGATAGATACCTAGCAATGGAATTACCAGATCATATGGTAGTTCTACTTTTAGTTTTTTGAGAAATGTTCATACTCTTTTCCATAGAGGTTGTACTAATTTATATTCCCACCAACAGTGTATGAGAGTTCTCTTTTCTCTGCATCCTCACCAGCATCTGTCATTTTTGTCTTCTTAATAATAGTCATTCTAACTGAAGTAAGATGGTATCTCATTTGGTTTTGACTTGCATTTCTTTGATGATTAGTGGTGTTGAGCATTTTACCTGTTAGCCATTTGTATGTCTTTATATATAATATATATTTTAAAATAGCAGGTGCTCAATTGAAATAACAGAGAACACACTACCCAATGGTTACATGTTTTGGTAACGTGGTAGAATATCACATTCTCTTATTGTCACATAATCTGCTATACCCCATTGTTAGTTCACATAGACATTCTCTTGCCTGTGATTGACTTTATCCTTGCAACTCTCATTCTGCTTTCCTGTACAATAGTGTGACTCTTTTCAAACCACAAATGGGAACTAGGATCCGATCAGAAGACAGAAAGTTTTAAACTAGGATGTTCCTGAGTATGTGTGTTTATATTATTTACGTGGCTTCTGTTTGTGAGTTCCACAGAAGCCTAGGCCTGCTTGTCTTTATTGTATAAGTTTAACAGCTGCTTGCATAGTTCAGGGTCAGAGAGCATATTTTCAGGCCACAATTATGAATGATCCACGGGTCACTCAAGACACCAGTTTAACATTTAGGAGTTGATACAGATGCATACCAGGGAGAGCTCAATTGTTAGCAGTGTGTGGAGGTGCCCATGAGGATGGGACTGGGATAATCTTGTGAAATATAATCTGATTCCATTTTATTCTGGCAAAACCGCACGGGCCATATAAGAGTGTCTTTTCTGCCTCTCCAGCTCAAAGATGGCCTGGCCTGCTGCCAGTTTTTTTTTTTTTTTTAGTTGAGATATAATTTACATGCCATAAAATTCACCATTTTAAAGTGTAAAATTCAGTGCTTTTTAAAAAATATATTCACAGCTGGGTGTGGTGGCTCACATCTGTAATCCCAGTACTTCGGGAGGCTGAGGCAGGTGGATGGCTTGAGGCCAGGAGTTTGAGAACAGCCTGGCCAACATGGCAAAACTGCGTGTCTACTAAAAATAAAAAAATTAGCCAGATGTGGTGGCACACACCTGTAGTCCAAGCTACTCAGGAGGCTGAGGCACGAGAATTACTTGAACCCAGGAGGCAGAGGTTGC
This sequence comes from Homo sapiens, assembly GCF_000001405.40. Classification (NCBI taxonomy): domain Eukaryota; kingdom Metazoa; phylum Chordata; class Mammalia; order Primates; family Hominidae; genus Homo; species Homo sapiens. The sequence continues at coordinate 77,550,327 of NC_000013.11, forward strand.
AGTGCGGCAAGATCATGCAACAGCACTACAGACTGGGTGACAGAATGAGACTTTGTCTAAAATATATATATATATATATATATATATTATATATATATATCTCCAAGGTTGTGCAACCATCACCACTATCTGATTCCGGAGTATTTTAATTTTACCCCAAAAAGAAACCCCATTCCCTTTAGCAGTCACTCTTCATTCACCTCTCCCCTTAACCCCTGGAAAACACTAATCCACTTTCTTTTCTATGGATGTGACTGTTCTGTACATTTCATATCAATGGAATCATACAATGTGTCCTCTTCCGTGTCTGGCTTCTTTCATTTAACTTAATGTTTCAAGTTTCATCCACATTGTAAGATGAATCAGTATTTTCATTCCTTTTTATGCTGAGTAATATTCTGTTGCACAGAGATGCCATGCTGTGTATCCATTCATCCACTGATGGACATTGGGGTTGTTTCTACTTTTTGGCTGTTATGTGCTACCATGACCATTCATGTATAAGTTTTTGTGTGGACATGTTTTTAACCAAAGGAATGTTGGGGAATACACAGAGAAGGCTGTCCTGTGAAGGTTTGTTTGCTGCAGCAGTTCATTGAGAGGCTGCCCTGGTACCAAGCACTTGACCAGAGCTCATGGGACTTCCAAGGAGTGAGATGCTCAGGGCCAGGCAAACCCCTGCATCCACGTTCCCACTCTCGCTTTAACACCAGGGCAGCAGCCTAGTCTTGCAGTGACTCCTGATGGGCATTAGTGCTGTTTGCTGAGGAGGGCGTGGCTTGGTTTAGAAGCCCGATGCAGCCTCTTAACACCTTGGACATGTTGCATCCTCTCTCTGAGCTCCGGTAGTCTCATCTGGGAGTTGGAGGGACCAACAGCCACCCCACAGAGTTTATGTGAAAAATGAGAGACAATGCCTGAGAGGTCCCCTGTTCAGGGCGGGGGCTCAACCAGTGGATCTTTATTCTATTAGCAATTGCCCTGTGCAATAGACCATTCAAAGAGGGCACAGATCAAGGGCAGTGTAGACCAAAGCTCTTTGAATGACTTGCCTATTTTATAACTCTTCAAATTACTTTTTTCATAAGGACTCCATAGTTTGCTCAGGCTGTTATAACAAAATACCACAGACGGGTGACTTAAATAACAGAAAATCATTGTCTCACAGTTGTGGGGGCTGGGCAGATTTGGATTACTCCTGAGGCCTCTCTCCTTGGCCTGCAGATGGCCACCTTCTTACTGTGTCCTCACATGGCCTTTCCTCTGGTGTCTCTTTGTGTTTCGAAATTTTCTCTTCTTACAAGGTCACCAGTCAGGTTGAATTAGTACCCACCCTAAGGGCCTCGTTTTTTTGTTTGTTTGTTTGTTTGTTTTATTATTATTATACTTTAAGTTTTAGGGTACATGTGCACAATGTGCAGGTTAGTTACATATGTATACATGTGCCATGCTGGTGTGCTGCACCCATTAACTCATCATTTAGCTTTAGATATATCTCCTAAAGCTATCCCTCCCCCCTCCCCCCACCCCACAACAGTCCCCAGAGTGTGATGTTCCCCTTCCTGTGTCCATGTGTTCTCATTGTTCAATTCCCATCTATGAGTGAGAATATGCGGTGTTTGGTTTTTTGTTCTTACGATAGTTTACTGAGAATGATGATTTCCAATTTCATCCATGTCCCTACAAAGGACATGAACTCATCATTTTTTATGGCTGCATAGTATTCCATGGTGTATATGTGCCATATTTTCTTAATCCAGTCTATCATTGTTGGACATTTGGGTTGGCTCCAAGTCTTTGTTATTGTGAACAGTGCCGCCATAAACATACGTGTGCATGTGTCTTTATAGCAGCATGATTTATAGTCCTTTGGGTATATACCCAGTAATGGGATGGCTGGGTCAAATGGTATTTCTAGTTCTAGATCCCTGAGGAATCGCCACACTGACTTCCACAATGGTTGAACTAGTTTACAGTCCCACCAACAGTGTAAAAGTGTTCCTATTTCTCCACATCCTCTCCAGGACCTGTTGTTTCCTGACTTTTTAATGATTGCCATTCTAACTGGTGTGAGATGGTATCTCATTGTGGTTTTGATTTGCATTTCTCTGATGGCCAGTGATAGTGAGCATTTTTTCATGTGTTTTTTGGCTGCATAAATGTCTTCTTTTGAGAAGTGTCTGTTCATGTCCTTCGCCCACTTTTTGATGGGGTTGTTTGTTTTTTCTTGTAAATTTGTTTGAGTTCATTGTAGATTCTGGATATTAGCCCTTTGTCAGATGAGTAGGTTGTGAAAATTTTCTCCCATTCTGTAGGTTCCCTGTTCACTCTGATGGTAGTTTCTTTTGCTGTGCAGAAGCTGTTTAGTTTAATTAGATCCCATTTGTCAATTTTGGCTTTTGTTGCCATTGCTTTTGGTGTTTTAGACATGAAGTCCTTGCCCATGCCTATGTCCTGAATGGTAATGCCTAGGTTTTCTTCTAGGGTTTTTATGGTTTTGGGTGTAATGTTTTGGGTGTAATGATTAAGTCTTTAATCCATCTTGAATTAATTTTTGTATAAGGTGTAAGGAAGGGATCCAGTTTCAGCTTTCTACATATGGCTAGCCAGTTTTCCCAGCACCATTTATTAAATAGGGAATCCTTTCGCCATTGCTTGTTTTTCTCAGGTTTGTCAAAGATCAGATAGTTGTAGATATGTGGTGTCAAGAACAGAACAAGAGCCTCGTTTTAACTTAATCACCTCTTTAAAGGCCCTGTCTCCAAATATAGTCACCTGCTGAGATACTAGCGGTGGAAACTTCAACATACGAATTTTGGAGGAACGTGACTTGGCCAATAACAAGCACCCAGGGAGCACCTACTCTCTCCCAGATGCTGGGAATAGAAAGAAAAGATTTAGGCCTTTCCCACTGGAAACAGTCTCTTGGGAGGTACAGAAAAATAAGCAGATAATTGTAAAATACTCTTTCTCCATATACCCTGTCTTTTGTCTCACAATTGCATTTACTGTCTCTGCAGATGTATCATTAATTATGCATTCAGCATTTTGACCACCTGAGAATTCCAGTGCAATCAGCTGAGAACTCTCCAGGTCTTTATCGGCTAAGAGAAAAAAAAATATATCAGAGCCCATTTAGAAACAGGAAAGAGGCTAGCCAAAAGTCCTGAGACACACTGCCAGACAGAGGCAAAATAGTCACTAGTTGAGCTTTAAGTTTGCCTTTAGGTATTTCTTTACCTTCATTTTGCCAGAGTTTATCTATGCAGCCTCCAAACACAGCCAGCCAGGGGATCCCTGACACTCCCGGTGTGCTCAGCTGCCCAAGTTCAAGTCTGTCCCATCCCTTCCCACATCCAACCATACGTCTCCTATGTCTTTGCTCTCTGCTTGTCAAGGTGATAGAGTATGGAGTTAAAACTTACTGAGCACCTACTGTGTGCTGGGCAATAATTAGACACTTTACATATGTTATCTAGTAATATTTGAACCTCATAATGTTCCTATTTCACCTCATGATGCAAATAAGAGACCTGAGCTAATAACATACCTAAGGTGACACAGTCAGTAAACAGCATCACTTAGATGCAGTTCTTTCTAACTCCACTAAGATCTTCAGACTCTTGGTTATTCATGCAGCAAACAGCTGCGGGTCCCTGTGAAGGTAATGGTCATGATGAATACATTGGTTCTTAATCCACATCTTAGGTCAGGTTTCCCAGAAGCCGTTTCTGAGAGGCATTTGGGTGCTTGTGGCTTATTGAGGCTGTGCTTTCAGGAGAAGGGAGTGAGGCAGGGGGAGGCCAGCGAAGGAAGTGAGCAAGGATGTGCTCTCTGCTGGTTGAACTACAGCCGGATCCCAGCTCTGAAGTGCGAGTCACTGGATAGAAGTGATTCTATCTTGAGGCAAGGGACTGACCTTTTTTATCCCGAGTCAGTCAGCAGGTTGTAGTGAGTGGGGAGGTTGTGAAACCAGTCAGGCCTAACAGCGAAGGGCAAATCCTCAAGGAAGGTGCAGTCATGAGCCTGTAGCTGCCAAGCTTCAGACTGGTGAGGGGAACCTGATCTGGACACTTACAGCCTCCACCTCTGATCTTCTGCAGTGCTACTGACATTCCAGAAACAGACCCCAAGGAAAATAATACGTTGACCCAAAGCAGTGTGTCTTTCCTACTTCAGGTCCTATGGCAAGTTGTTGCAGGAAATACTTTCACATTAGAGGATAGGAGGTGGGGGCTTTTAGAACCCCAAATTATAGCTATAGACAGCTGTCCAATAATACTGCCTTAAGTCCAATAGCATTGATAGTTTAACAAAGTAGTTTTTTATGTACATTATTCATTTGATCATCGCAGCAACTTAGGAAGTAGATGGCAGGTTTCAATAGCCTCATTTTGCAGGGAGGTTAAGTGGTTCATTCTCAGACGTTGAACGTGATAAAGATGGACCTAAAACTTGCTTCTGACTTGAGCTTGAATGCCCCTCCTATGGTCCATACTACACAGTCTGGGTGAGATGGACACTGGAAAGGACATAATACCCCACCTAGGGTGACCAGCCATCCAGGTTTGTCCAGGACTTTTCTGGTTTGAAAACTGAAAGTCCCACTTTCAGGAAGACCCAGAGCTAACTAAGGCACACAAAGGCCCCCAATATATTTATGATCCACAAAAGCATTCTAATTTTAATTTCTTTCAATCACAAGAAAAATATTGATATAATAATAATAATAATGAAGCCAGCCAGGATTATATTCATACTAACATAGTCATAAGATACAATTTTAAATTTGTGTGTGTGTGTATGTCTGTGTGAATAAGAAGGGACCCTGAAGGCAAAAGCGCCTAGGACCCATAAAGTCATAATTCAGTTCTGGGGAACTGGATCAGTCCTGGGCAGACTGGTGCTGTGGGTTACCTTAACCCCTTAACACCAGAAGAGTAGTTCAGGAACTTTGAGTTTTCCATGTGGCGGTTGCCTAAAATCACCAGTGTTTCTCCAAGTCTGTGATTTCCATATGCCTGGCTGCTTTCCTTCTAATTACACAGCAGTTTCCTGAGTTTGCTTTGGCTTTTTTCAGGAAGCAGCTGAGGAGCCCTTCTTTGGGCGTTCACAGTGTGCTGTGGGTTCAGCACAATCTCTCTCTCTCCCTCTTGACTATGCCCAGACACTTGTCTAACTCATTTTTCTGTCCCCAGCACCAGGCTCAGTGCCAGGCAGACTGTAAGCATTCCATGCGTAATTATTGATTGAATAAATGAATTCACTGATGGCCTGATTCTACCGATTGCTTATGATACAACACTGGAATCACAAAACTCCCTGTGCCTCATTTTCTCCATCTGTAAAACAAATATGTTGGAAGAGATGAACTCTTGGGTTCTTAGGGGCACTTTATGTCATGCATTTGTTATGACAGATCCTGTGACTATGTCACTGTCATTGAAAAGTGAATCTCAGTCATGAAACAGTCACTTACAGGTTCTCAGAGTCATTGATGTGCTTTCTCTATTTCCCATTTTTCTTTTAGGTCCTTACTGGAAGGCAGCATGTCCAATGTTACCTTGAGAAAAATGTCTCCCACAGGAAATGGTAATGTACATGATGTTTCTCTCACTCAGAAAACTTTAAAATTTTGGAAAAACAACTCACAGATCTCAATTCTTTAATACAGATATTGAATGCTTAGAAACAACAGTCTAATTTAATTAGCATTGCAAAGTTAGGCTTAAGAAAAAGTATACTTGTCGCAGCTTTTAGTCATGTAATTGGAATTCAATTTTTTTAAAATTAATAAAAATATCTTTTTAAAAATATGACCTTCTTTGTGTTTGGCTCTTACAGGATAAAAGAATTAAGTTACTTAGAATCAAATGACCAGGACTTATTGACTATTACTATGTATTATAAAAACAGTCTTTTGTGGGCTTCCAGGGTATATTTCTTATGGGGTAAAAAGGCCAACCCACTAAATCCTGGCTCAGTTTATCCCAGGCTGGGAGTTCTCCTTTCCCAGGAACTGGATGGGGCCTCATGAGTGGCACTGGCAGTTTCAGTTGGCACCTGAGCAACTTTATGTGTTATCTTTGGTGATGGGGTGTGGGATCTGTTCTTTCTTGCTGGTGCATCCTACTTTGAAACAGTACTGGACTTGCCAGCCCAGATTGATGCTGGCCAATCAGATGTGCCTCTCAGGATTTTCAGGTTAACAAGCCCACGCTCAACTCCACACTATTACATCTTCCAGTCTTTCATGTTTCTGTTGATAGAGATGAAGAGCACCACTCAGGGAACCACACGGAAGCAGCAGGATTTTCACGAGGTGAACAAAAGAAGAACTTTCTTACAGGATAACAGTTGGATAAAGAAACGCCCTGAAGAAGAAAAGTAAGCTGGTGTGGAGCGTGGTGGGTGGACAGAAGGGCAGAGAGAGGCATTATCTGTTTGGGAAGCTAATGCTCATCTGAAAAGTGAATACTTTTCTCCTGAAACACTTTGTTGCATGGTCTAATTTTTGGTGAGACTTAGTAAGCACAAATAGGTTACATATCAGAGTTTCAAGAATATTTCTGCCATTTTAAATATCCACATGCATAAGAGAGTGTGAGTCATTACTGAGAGAGAGCCTGGTTATTACCTAGGATAGATGTTTGTGCTTACTTGGTAAACTGAAAAGAAAACATGACTTTCCAGTTTCCAAAAAGGTAACAGTTAATCCATGATCGGACAATCCTGCTCTGTTGATCATGTCAGCTGAAATAAACAAAAAGAGTGTAATTCCAAATTTAACATATAAAATTTTGGTATGTACAAGAGAAATTTAAAAAATTACCGACTTATTTTAGTTCCATCTACTTCTAAGTACTGGGAAGGTGGGATATATGGTATTACTTTGTAAGTACTTACAACCAACAAAATTTTGTTTGTTTTGAGCATTGCTTCTACTAGCTGAGAGGTTTAAAGATTTGAAAACTATGGCCATAGGCATATAGCCTCATTGGCAATATAGATTTGCAATAGGTATTTGTCCAGCAATAGGTATTTGTCCGATTATATATTATGTTATGTGTATATTATAAATTATGTAGACATTTTATGATTTCTTTGTTATTAAGCTTGGTGTTAGATACTTTACATATAAAGCACCACTAATTTTACAATAAAACACAACGTAGGTGTTATATCTCCTCATTTTACAAAAGAGGGATCTGAGCTCAGAGAAGCTAAGTAACTTGTCTAATGGCACATAGCTATTTAGTGGTAGAGTTGAGATTTTAACATGGCCCATTGTTTTTCCATTACACGAATGTTTCTCAACCAGGGGCAATTTTACCTCCAGCAGACATTTGGCAAGGTTGGGAGACATTTTTGTTGTTAAAATTGAGGAGTGCTTCTGGTATTTAATGCGTAGAGAACAGGGATGCTGGTAAACATCCTATAAATCACGGGACAGCTCCCATACAAAAAATTATCAAACCCAAAGTGTCAATAGTCCTGCAGTTGGGAAATCCTGCATTATAGGATACTTACTCTAAACTATCTACAAACTCTGCAGATATGGTTATTTGAGGGGCATTCTTGTGAATGTTAAATTTAAAATATCTATTAATTTCTGTTATTGAGTATTATTTCAAGGAAATATATGGGTGTTTAGAGATTTAGAGACTCACACTAACTTTTGGAGTTAGCACTATTGGACAACAATCATTTCCTTCCATGAAACAGCATTTATTGCTTCTGTCAAAGCATTTCCAATTTTCTGTAGTGATAGTGTCATGTGACATGTAGACCATACATTTTGGATTGCCAATATTTACACAGACGAGTGACGATAGAATGTATAAGACAAATCACAGTTGGGAGGAATGTTGCTTTTATGCCAGGCATGCTTTCCCAGGAAAACCCAGGGAAGCCAGCTTGGATGGCATAGGAGCTACTGAATGAAGGGAAAATTGGCTTTGATGCTTCCCTGATTCCCCCAGCCCAGTTCTGGGCTGTGTGTTATAATTCCGCCTCAGATAAAAACATGTCTGGTATCTGCTCCTCTTTCAAAAATTTCATTAAGAGATATGGAGGAAGATAGGAAAGTTCTCTCGGGGTCTTTGAGAATGTATATTTGCTGGCATTGTTTCATTTTTACTGTTTATGTTTCTGTTTAATTGTCTACTACAGTTCTTTTATAGCTTCATTAAAAATGGTACCGGAGGCCGGGCGTGGTGGATCACTCCTGTTATCCCAGCACTTTGGGAGGCCGAGGCGAGCAAGTCACTTGGGGTCAGGAGTTTGAGACCAGCCTGGCCAACAGGAAGAAACCCTGTCTCTACTTTAAAAATACAAAAATTAGCCGGGCGTGTTGGCGGGCACCTATAATCCCAGCTACTCAGGAGGCTGAGACAGGAGAATTGCTTGAACCGAGGAGGCAGAGGTTGCAGTGAGCCGAGATATCGCACCACTGCACTCCAGCCTGGGCGACAGAGCAAGACTCTGTCTTACAAAAAAAAAAAAAAAAAAAAAGGTACCAGAGTGTTAAGTAATGTTAGTAGAGCATAACCAGGAAAAATGTGGTATTTCAGGTTTTGTTGGGTTGACATGAAATAGGTTCAGTTACTTTCTGCCTTGGCTCAAATCCAAAGACTTCACTACGTGTTTTGACATTTCCTGAAAGGGCCTGTACTTTCAGTTCCACTGTACAAAGTAAGAATGATATTACTTTGAGATTTTACATATGAAGGTCGATTGTAGGGTTGACCAGTAGGAAAAGCAATGATTTGGAATGAAAATATCTGGGTCCTAGACCCACCTCTGTTACTTGCTAACCTTGTGGTCTTAGGAAAGCCACAAAATCCCCTATCAGTTTTCTCATCTGTGAACTGGATATGACAGTGTCTTCGCTGCCTAATTCATAGGATTATTTTAACAACTAACTAGAGCAAACTGTATTCTCATGGTTCAAAAGTAGGCTAGGTCTCCTGTGAATTATAAATCTCCTTAACCACAAATATTGGTACTGAGTTTCCCACATTTTATGAAGGAGAACTGTCAAGTCCACCAACATACCCAGACGTAATGGGCTTACTTAAACTTAAACACAATTTGTGGAAAGCTTTTGTATTTGACTTCATGCCAAAAAGGACTCTTCTAATACATATAAAGTAAATGGGCTCATATTCCCACAGTCTGATAAAACACAACACAACACAACACAACACAACACAACACAACACTCATTCATTGTTGAATCATGTGGAAACCTCATGGGATAAATGATCATTTGTACTGACAAACTTGTTTCTTTTCTCATGCTCTTTCAAGTGGTGACTGGTTAAAATAGATACATAATTTTGTGTTCTCACAACTGAAGTAAAATGAATTAACCTTGCCAAAAATTGGGAGCTCGCCCGCATGTCTCTCTCATTTAGTGCTTGGTCAACATTGTGGTAACTTTCTATGTGACATACTTTTGTTCTTTCTTTGCAGAGATGAAAATTACGGTAGGGTGGTGCTCAACCGACATAATTCCCATGATGCATTGGACAGGTGGGTGTTTAGACATGTTACATCATGAGCAGAAACACAAAGATGGTAGTTTTCAGAGAAGACTTGTTCAAGACAGCTGAATATTTGCAGCATGCCTTGGGCTTTCCCCGATGTTCTGGGCATGTGAAGGAGAATCTGTGATATCATCAGAGGTTTCCACAAGGAAACTCTGCCTCTCCAGAACCATGACTTGGAGGCAGAACATAACCAACCCTCTGTGCATCCCACTGAGGTGATCCTCCTGACAGGCAGGGAAAGGACTCTCATAGAAACACGATCATATCAGGCCGGGTGCCATGGCTCATACCTGTAATCCCAACACTTTGGGAGGCCAAGTTGGGAGGATCTCTTGAGCCTAGGAGTTAGAGACCAGCCTGGGCAACATGGCCAGACCCTGCCTCTAAAAAAAAAAAAAAAAAAATTAATTAGCTAGGTGTGATGGTGCGCACCTGTCGTCCCAGCTACTCCAGGGGCTGAGGTGGAAGAATTGCCTGACCTTGGGACATTGAGGCTGGAGTGGGCAGTGATGCTCCATTGTACTCCAGCCTGGGTGACGGAAGAAGACCCTGTTTCTCAAACAAACAAACAACAACAGCAACATGACCAGATTACATATCTCTGAACCTTAGGGAAAGGAAGTCTAAAATACAGAAATAACAACTACAGAGTTCACTTGCTTTATGGGACAGTACCTTTCTTTTTGGAAACTCCTGGGCTAGTGGGAAAACATGAACTGATCCTCAGTGGCAAATAGACTGATCAAAGCAAATTAGTAGAAAAATTAAGACAAAACAGTAATCACAATGATACAAATAATCTCAGATTGATAAAAATAGAGAATATTCTTACCACAACACAGTTGTACTCACATCCATACAAACAACCACACCCATCAGAAGAACCTAATTATTTATCAGACACAAATTTTATCTGGTCTAGTAGCTTGTGTCTGTTTGTCATTTAAATGTAATTAGAAAGGGAGTGTGAATGTCTTCTATGGTGTGGATCTTAAAAAGTTAAGCAGACACTTGGGACACGTCTATTTTGGAAACTTTTGTTTATGAATTTCTGTCAACCCTTTTAAACTTTTTCATAATTGTGACCTGTTTTAAGGGTGCTGAGCTTATAACCTTCTACACAGAGTTGCCATTTCATTTTCCTGATGCCAGCTTTAGTTCATCTGATTTACTGTTCTGTGATCTGGCAGACTCTCTGCCGAGGCCCTGTCCTTAGTCTTTATGGTTTTGAAGATCACAGCCTGGTTCTCAGCTGGCTCTGATTCCACCAACAAAGGAGAGGCTCACCATTTGAGTCCAGCCACCTCTATGTTACTCACCTTTCTCTGGAACATTTAAGAACAGAAATGCTTGTGTTTTTTAAGTGTGAAATACGCTTCATATTCTTAATGTACATACAATGTGTTTTAGGTTAACAAGAGCTTAATGCCTTTCATGCTTATTTCATATTTTAAATTGTATTCGTTTCCTGAACCCTTCCTCATGGTGGCCAACATTGTGGCTAAAGTATAATATCAGTCTTTTAAGGAACAAAAATCTGTAAGCCCTAGACATTTCCCTCTTGACCTATAACTAACATCACAGAATCAATCTCCCTAAAAGAGTAGGGCAGATTATTTTTCTCCTGGTACTTGCTCAGAGGGTATCACTTGTCATTTTTCTGCTCTGCAGAGGATGTCTTTACCTTGATGCCCACTGAACAGCCACTTTGGAGCACCTGCTATGTGCCAGCATTGTGCAAGGTGCCAGGAATACAAAGATGCATAGAACATAATCTTTGACCTGAAAATATCCACAAATGAAAATACTAAAGTTTATCACGGAAAGTGCTATAGTAGAGGTGTGTGAGTGCACTATGGGAATAGAAAAGAGGGGAGACTAACTCTGCCTAAATAATCAGAGATCTCACCAAGGAGGTGGTCTTTGGTGTTGGCGATGATGCTTGAAGGATTATGAGGAAAAATTTCCCAAATGGGCAAGGCTGGCTGGTGGGCATGGAGCAAGGAAAGAAGCACTTCCAGCAGAGATGACAATGTGTGCAGAGAGCTGGCATGAGTGGGGTCTGAAAATAAAGGAAAATAAATAATACACTGTCATCACCTTAGATAATACCTTCATATTATCCACAATTGGAAAGTTTGACCATGTACATGTTCTGGTAGATCATTTAAACATGTCAAATAAGGATGACAGCCAAATAGCACCTGTAGGAGGCCTCCTGTGCATCAGTAGCTGTGTTAAGAGCTGCAAACAAAACAAAGTCCCTGCTTCCACAGAACTTGCATCCTAGTTGAAAGTGAGGGAGGGGAGAGAATGAAAATAACATGTTGAAACATGTCTTATTGTGATAAGCAGTAGGAAGACAACGGCCACCTAGAGACATAGTGATGGTGTCTGGGGAGGGGCTGTTTTCTGCAAGGGGACAGATGGCCCTCCGGCACCTGCTTGCATTTACACATTTACACACGATGGTGAACCACACCATGATTTCACTCTGGGGTTGTATTAAAAATTGGGGGAGTTGTATTTGGCATTTTTCTTCACTCTTTTTCTTGCCTTAACTGATGCTGTTCCCTCTACCTCTATTCGAAAATGTTCACATCTATTTCCCCTCCAAGGCCCAGCTCAAACTGCACTTCATTCCATAAAGCCTCCTCTGGTTTGTATACCTAGAAATCAGCTTTCTCAGCTTAGAACTTCCTTACACCTTACCCAAACCTCTTTTATGGCACTCACTACTTTCTGTCTTTGGATGTACATACCTGATTTATCCGTCTTGCTCTGTGTAGATAGCAGCTATAGTTATTTTATTCTAGACTTCCTTATATTTCTCAGTACAACAGTGTTGATTAATATAGCAAATGTTACTTTCTCCACTACTAATATAGCAAATATGCTTTTTGCACTATTCCTAGCCCTTTTTATATTGAGTACATCCAAATAGTTGCTTAATGAAAATATGCCACATCAACTTTAAAATTAAATCTTTAGTATCTAGTCTTAGTACTTATTCTAATGCAATACTTTGGATATGATGGCTTTAAATGATACTTAGAAATACAAACACAATAAATAATGGGGAATTCTCCAAAGAGCTTGCTTGCTTTATATCATAGGGTTATATGAGGCATTAAACAGGCTTTTTTAAATGTTTGATCAATCTGATCAGGATCTTTCCTTTGCTTCCATGATCACGATTCCTTCTACTGAGTCTTCTATCCTCTTTTCTGTTATTTTCTAAATTCCCCCCCCATTTTTGCTCATCTGTCTTGCTCTCCTCTCTTTGCCCTTGTCTCTCCTCTTCTTCTTCCTATCACTCTTCTCTCTTCCTCTTTTCCTTCTATCCTTCCTTTCTCTCACTTCCCACTTTCTCCTTTTCATTTTCCCCAGCTTTTCCTGTTTCCTTCCTTTCCTTTCCTTTCTTTCCTGTCTTTCCCCTCCTTCTGCCTGTAAGTTCCCTTCTTTCAACCCTGTCCACGGTGCTGAATATTAAACAAAGCATTTATGGATTTAGTCCATGGTGCTGGTTTATGGCACTGCTAAAACTCTGCAAACAAAATATAGTTGAGTATAAAAGATTGAGTTCCTATTATGTAGAAATAAACAACATTGACAAGAGTACATATTAGTTATTAAACATTTTGAGTGTTGTGTTGTTTGTTGTGTTGTATGATTTACGTATCCTTACCCCTAATTTGAATATGTTACATTGTTGTCAGAAATAATAGAAGCCAGAGAAGAATCTTTTATTAGCATAGGATATTGGATTTTCCATAATTTATTCTATCCAAGTTGGAAGATTTGGGTATTAGAAATCTATCTTTCCTTGGTAACATGTATATTTCCTACTGAAATAGGTCAAAATATTGCCATATGTATGATAGGTTTTATAAACTTTTTTTTTGTAATTGATTTGATTTTTTTTTTTTTGGTAATTATGTTTGCTACAGGAAAGTAAATGAGAGAGATGTGCCAAAAGCTACAATTAGTCGGTACAGTTCTGATGACACTTTGGACAGGTAAGGGGCTTTTGAACCATATAAATGGAATGCATAACATATTAAATACATTTTCTAATAAAGTTATGAAGTATTTAAAAGTTTACCAAAATAAGGTTTGAATCACTGATATTTTATTCCCAGGGATGGAGGGCTCTAAGAATTGAATTATCTTCTTCAGATCTCACTAAATCTTGGCTAGATGCATTTCCAAAATCTTTTTAATAGTAGATTGATATGAAATATTCTTAGAGACACTGATTTGAGTACAGCTAGGGTGGGTACTGTGCAGAATCTGTTAGTTCAATATAGGTTTTTTTTTTTTTTTTTGCGAATATGTATAATCCTTGTTCCAACATTTGGTTCTTCCACACTGATGGTGGAAAAACGTTAGTCCATGCAACTGCTTTATGGAGAGACTGTAAATTTTAATAATACAATAGTTTCAATCCACTCCAGGACAGAGACGTTAGCTCTTTACTTTCTCTTTAGAAGGTGAAAATACTCTTTTGACACTGGAGTCTCCATAGGGCTGATAGAATGAGTCCAACGTGTGTGCCTCCTGTTAGTTCCTTCTTACATGGAGGGAAAGGGCTCATCTCTACAGGGAAAATAGGGCAACTTCTATTCAGGTTGAAGTATAAATGCCACAAATCAAATTTTTAGTTTAGATTTGGTAGAGGCGCTTAGTAAGCATAAGTAAAGGACAAAGTTAGCATCTTTAATAGGAGTCTTTTGGACTCCTATTAAATAGGCACCATAAGTACCCAAAGCCAGTGCTAGTTGAGTTTACTCCCTGCAGCTAAAGATGTGCTGCAATTGCAGGCAAAAATGGCACCTACTGGGTTTTAAGCAAATACATGGTAACTTACAGCATCCAATAGATTCTAAACTCAGACTATGCCAGTGTTGATTAATGTAGCAAATGTATATACCTTCTGCATTATTCCTAGGCTTTCAAGTCAGTCACCCTAATAGAGGACAATCAATGCTGGTATCCTAAAGAGTTGGTCTTTCTCTTTTAAAAATTATCATCCTTGTCAAAAATGAGTTTGTAGTATATGTACAAGATCTCATCTCCACAGCGGTGCATAGAGAAGAGGTATATAAAATACCTCTGTCCATTCATCCTGGTCTTGCAGATGGTTAATTGAAGAAGGAAACCCTATTTCTAGGAATGAATTTTAAAGTGAGATAATTGAGACTCAAGTAAGGTGGAAAACCTAAGCTTTTGTAGGCTGTGCATCTGAACGTTTATGTCAGGCCAGCCGAGATACAGCCTAGGAATGTGGGAAATAGACTAGACCTCACAGGCAATGTAGTTAGGTCATTCTCAGCCTTAGCTATAAATTAGTACCACTGAGTGGGCTCTTAAACTTTATTGATGCCTTGGTCCTACTACCCCTCACTCCCCAAATTCTGATTTAATTAGCCTGAGGTGGAACTCAAGCATTTTTTTTCAAGCTTATAGAGTAATTCTTATGTGCAGCTGAGATTCAGAACCACCAATATAGCTCAAGCCCTTCATTTTATACCCTCAAAAGCAGGCCCAGAGATTACATGATCTATTTACACACTTTAGTGGTATGTTTGGGCAAAGTATCCTGGCAGCTCATTCCCAAGGCACTAAATGTGGAAATAGATTTGAGGAAGAGAACACAGGGGTTAGTAAAGAAAGGCAAGTCCTGTTAGCAGGAGCTGAACTTCTGTAATACAGACCACTCCAAAATGTAAGACATGAAATAATTTTAGGAGGAAGATGATCAAATATATCTGGTATGTGTGCATTTGCATTTTAATAATGATGCACTTGTTTTAATGAATATGAGAAAAGTACTGAGTTTACGTTTGAAAAGTTCCCTTTAAAATATACTTATGTGTGTAAAATGTGAGGTGTGCAAAAGAGACATAAATAAATGTGTATGTAGCATCCAGAGACAGTGGGTTATAACTAATTTGGAAAACCTAGGTTAGGAGGCCCTCTAGTGCTCCATTGTGAAAGTATAACTTCTCCTTCGGCTTTTCTGATCATGCTGCTAATTACATTGTTTGGTATTTCAAGTCTCCAAGACAGATTTTTATTAAAACAACCTATTTTATATCACAAGTTGACAGAAATTTAATTTCCAGGATAAATACAAAATTAATCTCCCACAGCAATAAGAAATCAACATACATATTGGAATGGTGGTTTAGAGTTCTCTCCATTACCATTGATAGACTTATTCCCCGGGTAGCATGATAGAGACTATGAGAGGTGACTAAAGAGTAAAGGAAGGTCTGTTAACCTAATATATGAGTTTTGGGAACAATCATACTACAGAATCGAATATATGACATTGGATCCCAGTGAACGATTTGGGAGATAGACTACTTTCTACTTGTGTTACCAAGAGAAAGCCATGCAATAACTCTGAGACTCCATTTATTTATCTATAAAATGAAAATCATTATACCTACCTTGTAGGGATGTTCTAGAGAGTAGAAAAAACATATCAAATGACCAGCAAGAAGTACTAGGTATGAGACAAGGAAAGAAGGAACAGGGGCCGAAGTTATGAGATCCCACCGTTGGCATATAATGATAACCTTCCTTATTTGTGCTTTCTGACTCAAGAAGCAGATGAACACACCTTTTCTAGATCTATGAGATTAGAATGATTAAAATCTCTAATGATCATTTGGACTCATTACATGTATTAGTCAAAGTAAACTAATTTGTCAAGGTAGAGTAACTTTTTAACAAATCTGCTTCCTCTCTTCCAAATCTAATGGTTTAACACACTATAAGGTACTACTTGACACATCAGAGTCCAATGTGATTTGCTGGAGTCCATGAAGTGACTCAGGGACCTAAGTTCTTTCTATATTTTAATGCCGCCATATTTATGCTGCCATGCATACCAAAGCCATAGTAGAAGGGGGAATAAATAACAAGGAAGACCACCAGGAGGTTTTACAATGGGTCTGGAAGTGGCAGATAACGTATCTGCCCACACTCTTTAGTCTAGAGCTCAATCACATGGCCCCAACTTAATTGCAATGAAGGTTGGAAAATGTGGTCTCCCTGATTGCTCAGAAAGAAAAGAAAATGTGTTTTGCAAACACATAATATTGTTTATGCCACAAACCTTAAAAAAAAAGCCAAGTAGTTCATTGATGCCTTTTACTGACATAGGAAGTACTGTCATTGACAAGATATATCATTAGAAAATAATGAAAATGAAAATAGAGTTAAATGCTCAATGAGTCAGAAAGACAAACAGGCAAAAGGCATAACACTTAAAATTTCAGGCTGGGTGCCTTGGCTCACACGTGTAATCTCAGCACTTTAGGAGGTGGAGGCGGATGGGTTACCTGAGGTTAGGAGTTCGAGACCAGTGTGGCCAACATGGTGAAACCTCTTCTCTACTAAAAATACAACAATTAACTGGGCGTAGGGGTGCGTGCCTGTAGTTCCAGCTGCTCAGGAGGCTGAGGCAGTAGAATAGCTTGAACCCTGCGGGCAGAGGTTGCAGTGAGCTGAGATCACACTACTGCACTCCCGCCTGGGCAACAGAGCAAGACTCCATCTCAAAAAATAAAATAAAATTTCAAACTATATTAAAACAACCTCATAAGTAGATTTTGTCATAAGTGGTTTCTTTTTATTTAAAAATTTTCTAAAATGTAACACTTGAAAAATAGTTCTCTTTACTAGAGAAAGGCTATGTTGTTAAGCTATTCTAGCATGAAAATGGTCTGAAAGGAGTTTGATAATTTAAATATTTATCCAGACTTTTGTCTTGTTTCTTTATAAAGGATCTCAGACAGAAATGATGCTGCTAAAACATATAAGGCCAATACCTTGGATAACCAACTAACCAATAGGTACCAGTATCTACTAACTATGGGAAAGGCTCAAGTATAATATTTTTCTAAGTGTTACCTATGTACTTGCAATTCTTCAATCCTACTTGATATCTTTCTGTAAATTCTTAGTCTCTATCATTACTCCTGTTCATGGCTAGAATAAAACCTTGTTGTTTAGCTTAAGAATCAAGAGCACTTGTAGCTCCAAATCACCATTCTTACCACATTTATGTTTCTGTTTAAGTTGTCCTGGTGGCAAAATTATGAAATAGGTGCAAATGCAAATTTTACATTATTATTGTTAAGGAAAATTACTGAACCCAACAAATAAAAATATTGGGCTTAAAAGATACTAAATTTTCAGAAGAAAAAAAATTCTTTGGAATCTAGTACAAGAGACAAAATCATGAAATCATCTTATGAAATTTATTAAAATATGATGCTTTCTATTTCTTTCTCTCACCAGTGTCTAACTTTTAAAACTCTAAATTCAGGAATAATTCCAAATAGATGCAAATGTTCATTCTTCATTGTTCAAACTTTGCTTTCTTTCTCTCTTACCAGGAGCATGTCCATGTTTAGATCACTGGAAGTAACAAAGTTGTATGTATTCTTTCTAATTGTAGTATATTTCTTTTTATGTATTCAAGAAAAACCAGGGAAAACCACCTCAGGCCAATTTTATTGGAATACAGCCATGCCCCTATTGCTCTGGCAGAGTTGAGTAGTAGAAGACAATACCAAAATGGTCTGTAAAGGTTCAAATGTGACTATCTGGACTTTTGCAGAAAAAAAAGATTGCCAATCATTACTCTATCCAAACACCAAAGCTTAGATCATCCTTTCTTTCTTCTTCTTTATTAAAATCTAGACTCCTTATTTTTTCCCCTACAGGACTTTTCTTCCCTCTACTCTCACAATAATTAACCCTTCCTCCACACCTCACTTCCTTCCCCACCCACCCTTCACATCTATGCCTCCTCCTTCAGAGAAAATTGAATTGGGAAAACATGGGGTGAGCTAAAAATCTATTTAAATGGAACACATTTTCCCTGGAATGTACTACTGATGGTTATAAGCAGCCCAAATCAGACAGATTTATAAACTTACTTTATTTTTGAATTCCTATTTATGTATAAAGTAATTTATACACTGGATCACACCTCTCAGTGCTTGAAATGGGCCTGGGTCACTTCCATTTTTGAGGCTCTGCATATATGAATAAATGCCAGATAGAGACTTAAGATGGTATGATTTAAAATTTTTTATTAAGCAATAATGCTTCTAATGCAAAAAACCGCAACATAATTAGTTAGTCACAATATAATCACAGGAATAAAAGAAATGTGAATCTGTAGCACGCCAGAATTGATTTGTCTGAATTTCCGACAGTTAATGTCATTTTATGAATCACTTCTTTATTCTATTCCTTTAGTTTTAGCTAGTTCTATGAGAACCTGACAACTTCTAAAATATGTCAACTAAGGAAGAAGATTTTTGGCTGTTTTTCTATCCCCAAGTGAAACATTTTATGAACAGAGAGCAGGCAGGAATATGAGTAGAATTTAAGACTTTTCAAAGGTAGGCTGAAATGAAAAAGTTTGAGAGTGGGATTAATTGTTGTTCTTGTCATTAAACAGGCAACCTGGCGGTTCATTGAATGCCAACACCTCCAACACCATAGCATCCACTTCTGCTACTACTCCTGTAAAGAAGAAGAGGTAGGATGAACTCACTGTGTCTACCTCTTGCTGATACACTATGAAAGACTGCATTAGAAAGCTTCCTCCTCTTTTTTGTGGGGATCCAGCATCTACATTCTGCTGTTCCCAAACTTCAGCTCTTTCCCCCAGCAATCTCTTTCTCAAATATAGAGTCTTGTTTTCAATTCCTGTAGGGCCTTGAATTTCTAGGAAATGTTTTAGATGATAGAGCTCGCATGTTAAATGACAGACTACTTGAGGTAGCATGTTTCATGGAGTCCTGCTGCTGGGAATGCCTTAACCTGAAATAATGATGAATGTAGGGCCACATGCTGCCATGCTCCTGAAACCGGCCTGTATCTGGAGATGCCGCCTCTGCTCTGTGGATTGGGCTGGCCTTGCTTCCAAATGCAGAGTCAAAGACCCTTTCTGGAGACATCCATCTGTATTTGTTTGGTTCTTGCCTCCTCCACCGACCTCCTCTGCATGGTCTCCCACATTCTGCTGGTGCTGAGTCCTATGTAATTAGCAGGTACAGAGGAGTAGTTGGACCAATGGTGACCAAATATTCTTCATGAGACAGAACATGATGGTGAAAGAGATGTTTGCATGTTGAAAAAACCCCAGGGCTATGAATTGTGATGCAAATGGAAAACAAGCATTTACAAACATCAGTGCTTTTAAATTTTCTCAATTTCCCTGTCTGTACCTGGGTCCATGCTCTGTACAGGGTAGGTGCTCAATGTTTGTTGATGGACTGGCTGACTTTGCCATGGTGCTGCTGGAGAAAAATGACTGATTCTGTTTTTTCCTTCAACAAAATTCTGGCTGTAGCTGCAAAGTCTTAGAAAATGTGATTCATCTTTCCATTGAACCCAAATTTCATGTCCCTTGACCCTTTGCCTAGTAAAAACAGATTCCTAAGTTTGAAAGAGAAATTTTAGGTCAGTCAGTTCCATCTCCTATCTAGTGCAAGAATCTTTCCTCCGACATTTTGGGCATAATTCGGGACCACTGAAGCCATCAATAAGATTCTCACTATTTTGGGACACATCTTTGACTTGCTCTCCTGGGTAGCATCTATTCCTTACATTGAGCTGGAATCTGCCTTGATTGACTCGTTCCTTGTCTTAGTTGAGTTCTGCAGCGGCTCAGAGAATAGACCTACTTAAACAATTTAAATCCAGCTTTCCTGTCTGCCTTTTCTTCTGTAGTGCATATCATTCTCATCTGAATATCTTCAGTTTTCATCCATATCTTGATCTTTCTGCTTAGCAATTGCTACCAACTAAAATTATGACCTAGTGATGTGAGGACATCTTTCTAATTGAGGTTAGAACTGAAGGTAGTGCTGCTATAATATTCACTTACGCTTTCAATATTTTTACTTGTCAGAGTTTTCTATCAGTTTCTTTTCTTTTTCTTTTTTCTTTTTCTTTTTTTTTGGAGTGTGCAGTGGTGCAATTTCGGCTCACTGCAACCTCTGCCTCCCAGGTTTAACCAATTATTTGCCTCAGCCTCCCGAGTAGTTGGGAGTACAGGCACATGCCACCACGACCAGCTAATTTTTGTATTTTTAGTAGAGATGGGGTTTCACCATTTTTGCCAGGCTGGTCTTGAGCTCCTGACCTCGTGATCCACCCGCCTCAGCCTCCCAAAGTGCTGGGATTACAGGTGTGAGGCCCTGCGCCTAGCTCGCTCACAGTTTTTTAAAAATTGTATTTTGAGGCCGGGCGCGGTGGCTCAAGCCTGTAATCCCAGCACTTTGGGAGGCCGAGGCGGGTGGATCACGAGGTCAGGAGATCGAGACCATCCTGGCTAACACGGTGAAACCTCGTCCCAGCAACTCGGAGGCTGAGGCAGCAGAATCGCGGAGGGCGGAGCTTGCAGTGAGCCGAGATCGCGCCACTGCACTCCAGCCTGGGAGACAGCGAGACTACATCTCAAAAAAAAAAAAAAAAATTATATTTTGAAGCTGGGCGCAGTGGCTCATGCCTGTAATCCCAGCACTTTCAGAGGCCGAGGCAGGTGGATCACCTGAGGTCGGGAGTTCGAGACCAGCCTGACCAACATGGAGAAACCCCATCTCTACTAAAAATTACAAAATTAGCTGGGCGTGGTGGTGCATGCCTGTAATCCCAGCTACTCAGGAGGCTGAGGCAGGAGAACTGCTTGAACCCGGGAGACGGAAGTTGTGGTGAGCGGAGATCGCGCCATTACACTCCGGCCTGGGCAACAAGAGCGAAACTCCGTCTCAAAAATAAAAATAAAAATAAAACATATATATATATATATATAGAGTAGAGTATAAGATTGTTATTTCTGTTGTGAAATAGTTCAGACAAGCAGAAAAATAGGGAGAATAGGAGAATAACATAATAAACATATATGAATTTACTATCTAGACTTAACAATTGTCATTGTTTTCTAGATTTGCTTTAGATTTCTTTTTAAAAGAGATGTCCACGTTACTTAGTGCTAAAGGAAATGAGAAAAGAGGTTTACTTGGAGGAACAGATAGCCTAGAATATAGGACAGTTACTTCCTACTTCATTTATGAAATAGTGTTCATTTTACTTCCAAGGTTTGGTATAATCTCATTGTCTTTTTAACTGTCAAATTATTTTCAGACATGTGGGTGGGATCAGCCTTTCAATCACAATGTTTATTACCGTGTCATTTCTTAACAGGCAGTCCTGGTTTCCACCGCCCCCTCCAGGTTACAATGCCTCCTCGAGCACAGGAACCAGGAGACGGTAAGGGAAAGGTGTCAGGCGTAATTGCTGTGCCATTAGATGGAAGAACATGTCAGACATTGACAACATATAATTGTGGATGTTTTGGGATAAATTGGAGGCAATCTCATGAACTCTCAGCTCTGTACAGGAGAGTGTCCAGTGGTTGTAAGGTCAGGGCTACCAAGTACCCTGATAGGACATCTGACAAACTGCTAGGAATGAGTAGGTGGCTGTATTAGATTGCTAGGGTTGCTTAGAGCCAAAATAAATGAGTGCCACAAACTGGGTGCCACAGACTGCCACGAAGTGCCACTGGGTGGCTTAAACAACAGGAATTTATTGTCTCATGGTTTTAGAGGCCAGAAGTCCAAAATCAAGGGTTCAGCAGAGTTGGTTCCTTCTGAGGACTGTTAGGGCTCCCCTAACTTCTGGTGGTTTCCTGGTAATCATTGACATTGCCCAGTTGGTACAAGCATTGACCTGATCGCTGCCTTCATCTTCACATGATCTTCTCCCTGTGTGCACGTCTGAGTCCAAATTTCCCTTTGTTATAAAGCAACTAATCATGTCTGTCCTACTACAGTATGACCTTATCCTAACTGAACTAATTACATCTGCAATGACCCTATTTCTAAGCAAGGTCACATTCTGAGGAATTGTGGATTAGGATTTCAACATGTGAATTTTGGGGGCAGAGGGGACACAACCCTTAACAGTGACAGTGGGAGAGAACAGAGTCAGGCATCAGACAGGGGTTCCAATGTGGGCTCTTGATGCCCAGCTGCCTCCAGGCTGTGCAGAACCTGGAGAACTGGATGAGGATATGTGTGGCAAGTTGTTCATAAACGTTAAGCGACAAATGAATATTTTCTAATTTTATTTTTTGTTGAGAGTAATAGTTATAACTAAATGATAGATCAGGTAGAGGACACCTTATTCTACAATTTCCATGCTAGGAATGCCAGCAACAATTCAATGTAATAAATATTTAATAAACACTGCTGTGTGCCAGATATTATTCTAGGATCTTGGGATATATCAGTGAACAAAACATGGAGCCTACACTCTGGTCTTTAAAGAATCATGTTGTATAATCGATATCATCACTAACTCAGAAACAAAAACAGGTCTCCTATTTAGTTTACTTTTCAGGTATCCAAAGATGTTTTTATGTCTCAACATCTAGAATATTTTCATGTTTCAATGGGATCAGTTTTTCTAATTCTGACTATTGGAAAAGAAAATATTTTTAAACTCTGTGCTTATTTCATATTAGATTGGTTTATTTTATAGAATTTTCCTCTACTGTGCAGACTTCTAATGTCTCTTTCATTTCCAAGTAATGGATATGTTTAGAAATACATGTATTTTGCAATAATTTGAGTGGGCTCTATAAGGATGTAAATAAACTGTAGTTGGTCAATAGACACAAAGAGCTCAAGTTGCTTTTTTTATATCTGTCATTACATCTATCTATCTATCTATCTATCTATCTATCTATCTATCTATCTGTCTATCTATCTAATCTATCTCTGTCTGCTTGTCTGTCTACCTATCTATAACTAAATCAAATTACTGAACATGTTGAGCAGTCACAACTTGGAATCACATTTACCTACTGCTACAATGTTTTATTTTAGAACCTGCTCATCTACAGATGACTTCCAATTACATGAACTGCCATGTATGAATTACATTTGGAGTTTAAAACATTCTTTCCCCTCAGGCTGTTATTAGATACTTCGCTATGGGTGATACCTTTGATATAAGGAGCTATCTAAGTGGGGAAAATGTTGACTAGGAGTTAACTAGTTATTATTTTTTCTGAGTATTGTTAAGATCCATTCAATTTTGTCTTGATAGAGAATAACTGGTACTTTTCTTAGATATATTTATTACTTATTTAAAAAATAACTTCATATTTTTGTCCTCAACTCATCATTCCAATTGTTCATTATTCCAATATCATTATAAAAAGCAACTGGTTATATAACAGTGTAAAACATGGAAAGATTATTCATGAATTAACATCTCATGCTATCAATGCCTGTTGAGGTTGTGGATCGGTTTGCACAGAGCTGATGGGACTTGGCTCTATGCCCTCCCTCACAATTTATGCACTGCTGGATGTGATTTACATGGAAGATGAAATGAGTTACAATGTTCCTATTTCTGATTCTTGGCTCAGATCCATAGCTCCGAAACTAAGGGAAAGAGGAGATTATTAGGCTAGGTTGATCAGTTTATATATCCATTCCATTTTTAGAGTCACAGATTATTAATATAATGGCTAAACGAAAAGACTTCTCTTTGAGCATTGAAAATAATGTCATGCCAAGCCTTCAGGGGAAGGAGAGAATAATAACAATATAGCAATGCCTTTGATTTTTGAAGTGATTTTCTTTGGAAGAGCTCAAAGTACAGCTTCTGTTTCTCACCTTTAATGCCAGTACATTCCCAGGGCTGAGAAATAGCCTTTTTAGTAAATTCTGGAAAGTAGAAGCAATTATTAAATGATGAAAGGGAGTAAAGGCTTCACAAAGATATCTTTGTTCCCAGAGGAGCCCAAAGAAAATGGAAATAGGTCAAAAACAGATAAAAATGGGGGACTATGATTGATAACACTAGCTAATAGCTCAATGTTAAACATTTCCCTTTATCTTTCACTAATACACTGGTATTCATCTCTCCCCCTTCTCTCCTCTCCTATCTTCTCCAAAAGAATTTTCTCGTAAGACTGACACCCTCACTTTTTCTGTTCTTAATTTTGCAAGCTTTTACTTTTTCACCACCTAATCTTTCCCTGAAATTTCATTTTCTCTCATACATCTTTTTCTGTGCAGCACACTTGAAAAGACCATCAAACTTCCCTGTCATCCAGGAATGAGTCCTTTCCTGGAATTTCCTCCCTTGACCTCTCTGTAGCCCTTAACACCATGGGTTATCCCATCTCTCATTTGTCCCTTTCTTAATTTATACACTATGGAAAAAATCAAGTTCAGATTAAAAACTTGTGTTGTATTGTGTTTTGATTAAAATCTATTACAAGCCCAATGTAAACCACACCCAAAGGGACTTAAACTTTTTTTTTTTATCAACAGAAGAGCTCATAATATCATACCTTTGTTTAAATGTATATCTATGCCTATGACTATGTTAGTCTATCTTTATAATTAATATATCTATTCCTACGTCTACATCTATATCTATACTTACATGTAATTGTATGTTTATAATTAACACAAGGCTGGTGAGGTTAACTACAGCTGAAATGAGAAAATAGAGTTTTTTAAAATTATCATATTTTATAGCTAAAGAAAAAATGAAATTTCCTGAGAAGTGTCATTTTATGTATGATATACATTAGTTATGCAATAAGAGAGTTCAGACCTGGGTGATCAAACAAAATTTTGGAGTTAAGACTCGAATATCTTTGAAAGCCTCTTGTCCTATTTTTGTAAATGTTCACGAGAGAATCTAATTCATAACAGCAAGACATGGCATGTAAAGTTTTTAATTTAAATAAAACCTTTGGCCCTTCTAGCTTATTTCTAAGCTTGCTTCTTGGTCATTGTGATTTCAACCATTGGGATATTGATGTTTTCTGTCTTCTTTCTTCTCTTGCTAAGAATGGAAATAACCAATACAGTGTTTTGAATTATCAAGATATGCCAAGCAGATTATCCTTTGAAGTCTTCTTGTCAGAACATGTTTTCTTTTCATTTTAATCAAGACTGAATCAGAATTTTAGCTTTATAACTGTTGTTCCTCATCACATTCCTCTGTCTCTCCTCCTACCTCTGATCAAATTCCTGCTTCACTGGTTTCCCCATTTTCCATGTTCAAACCTCTTTCATCTTAAAAAATGTAGTTCCTAAAAATTTGATAGCCTAATCTTACAAACCTACTCAGCTGACACCCTTCCTCTCTTTCCATCTCAGCCAACATTCTCGGAAGAGTTGATGATGCTTTTCATCTCCATTTTCTGCTTCCTATCACCATTAGTTCATGGAAACAGCTCTCCCTAAGTCACTGATGACCTTGCTTATATCAGTCTGTATGATCTTGTGACCCTTCAAAGGGCACCACTGACTCTTTATGCCCTTATGAAATCTCTCTTATTGTGTTTCGAGAACCAGCACACTCCAACACACTCTGCTGGATTTTCTTTCTTTTTCGATTTCTCAGCCCTTCTTACTTAGTCTCCTCAGCTTCCTCATCATTTTCTATCAAGCCATTAAATATTGATGCTCCTAAAGGCTCCAAGTCCCTCTTCTCTTCTCCTCTTGTTCTGTGCTCTGCCTTTCAACAGCAGCATCCAGCTCCAGGGTTTCACCGGCCATTTGTGTGCTCGCCACTTCTTCATTTATATCCACTCCAGATCTCTTCTCTGAGTTGCCTTTGGGTAGCCCACTGCCCATTGTCTCAAAGACACCAGAAACTCAATGTGTTCAAAATGAAATCCATACTTCTTCATCCTAACCTGGTCCCCCATCTCATTCTCCTATAATGGTAGTTTAATGGGAATAGCATTGACTCTCTAAATTACTTTGGGCAGTATGGCCATTTTCACAATATCGAGTCTTCCTATTCATGAACATGGAATGTTTTTCCAATTTTTTGTGTCCTCTCTGATTTCTTTGAGCAGTGGTTTGTAGTTCTCCTTGAAGAGGTCCTTCGCTTCCCTTGTTAGCTGTATTCCTAGGTATTTTATTCTCTTTATAGCAATTGTGAATGGGAGTTCATTCATGACTGGCTTTCTGCTTGCCTGTTGCTGGTGTATAGGAATGCTAGCGATTTTCACACATTGATTTTGTATCCTGAGACTTTGTTGAAGTTGCTTATCAGCCTAAGAAGCTTTTGGGCTGAGACGATGGGGTTTTCTAGATATAGGATCATGTCATCTGCAAACAAAAACAATTTGACTTCCTCTCTTTCTATTCAAATATGCTTTGTTTCTTTCTCTTACCTGATTACGCTGGCCAGAACTTCCAATACTCTCTTGACTAGAACTGGTGAGAAAGGGCATGGCCATGTGTATTACTCTGTTGCCACACTGCTATGAAGAAATACCTGACACTGGGTAATTCATAAAGGAAAGAGATTTAATTGACTCACAGTTCCACCTTGCTGGGGAGGCCTCAGGAAATTTATGACCATGGAGGAAGGCAAAGGAGAAGCAGGGACCTTCTTCACAGGGTGGCAGGATGGAGTGAAGGCAAGCGGGGGAGGATGCCAGACACTTATAAAACCATCAAACCTCCTGAGAACTCACTCACTATCACTAGAACAGCATGGGGGAAACTGCCCCCATGATCCAATCACCTCCACCTGGTCCCGCCCTTGACACATGGGGCTCATGGGGACTACAATTCGAGGTGGGATTTGGGTGCGGACACAGAGGCAAACCATATCACCAGGTTTTGATCTGATTTCCCTTCAATATTTCGCTTCTATGTTACTTCTGTCCTGTTCTCTCAGCTCTACACTAAACCAGCTATAGTTTCCTTGATGTGTCCAAATGCCACTTGGATAAGGTCTTAATAAAGATATGGGATGGTGGGAGTGGTAGCAATATATTGCAGAAGCCCACACCAAACTACCTAAAATGAAATATTGGCCATCCCTATTATTGGGCGTTTCTTGTTGGCTGATGTTTCTCTGCAGGCCTTAACCTGCTGCTGTTTTGCTCAATAGCCCCTCACTCCTTTCTTCCACCTTCACTCTCCAGCCCCCCAGTTCCTGTTAACTACTTATGCCAGGGAGTTTAGTCCTTGTTTTTTTCCCTGCGCTAGCCTGTCCTTAGAGAATCTTATTATCATAACAAAACACAACATATTCACTTTTTGAGAGGCATTCTATGCTACTTTTTAAAATTAAATTTTTCTTGTGTAGTCATTCAGTCATTCAGTCACACCCACACTTAAAACATCAAAGCTGTCATGGACCTCTTTGTATTCCTTACTGTGTTTATTCAATCATCATTGCAGCGAGTTCCAGGGATTAGGGTGCTGATGGAGAAAAAAGATATGACCATGAGGTAGCAGAGGCATACCACAAGCCTAATTTGGGTGGTGCTTTCACAAGTTTTGCTTCTGAGGGAGTCACTCACCACATGAGAACCTCCAAAGGCAACTGCAAAGAGACCACCACCAAGAAAGGGAGGAGGGGGAAGGAACTCCTGGGGGAGCAGGGATCAGAGAAAGGGCTTTCATGTCTAGTTGGTGTCACTCAGCATCATGATGGGAGTCCCAGAGCAGAGAACTCTGAAAAGTGGCAGGAGCTTTGGGTCCTTTTTGGCCCCAAACGTTGGAGAATATGAATGTACAAATAACCATACCATAAGATCAACTGTGGGGGCATGAGAAGAACATCAGTATTCTCTGGGAGATCTGATGTTGTAGGAAGAGCTTCTAGCAGGGAACTCAGAGATCAGGTCCCCAAAGGGATGTGGGATTTGGGGGAAGGAAAGAAGTAACACAATGCTAGGTTTTTAAGCCCAGGGTGATTTTAAGCATGGTAATGCCACTAATCAATGTGGGAAGAAATAGGAGCAGAATAGGGAGTACCTAATTGGTCTTAAGCAGCTGACACTGTGCTTTGTTTTGAGCAGGTAGAGTCTGGGACACCGGCAGGATATATTTGTAGCAGTGATTCCCAAGTAAAGATAAACAGCTACAGGGGAGGAAGGAGTGTGCTCAGGTAAAAGGCAGGTTCCAAAGATCTAGGTTTGGGAATGAACCCAAGGATTTAAAATGTAGTATCTTTAGAGTGAAGATACCTGTTGAGAAAAGATTAAATGAGAAGAAAATGAAAGTTGAACTTTGATGTATGTCTGTACATTAGGTGTGTTGGGGGGCTAAGGTTACATGGTAAAGGTAAGGTGTAATGAGAGGTAGGTAGGGTGAAGGCAGTGTGGGTCGATGGATTCTACCATCTCAAACCAACCCATCCTTCAAGAAGTCTGGCATGAATTTTACTTCCTCCCGAAAGCTTTCATACTCTAAGGTGTTACTTTTGTCATCTGGACTCAGAAGGCTTATTATCTTTGATTCTCATTTAGCAATTAATTGTGCATTACTTTGACACATCACTTATTATTGCAGTGTACTCATCAACTAAATGGCATCATCTTATAACTCTTTGAATCATCAAGTTAATTTATCCATTGTAGTTTGTCAATAAGTACATATTGATTGATAGATTGATTTTAATATTTCTTAATATCTACTAGACAATGAATTTCCCTCAACCTGTTATCTTATTTGTCTTTTTGTAGTTGTGCTGTATTCTATGTGCTAAGTAACACCTCTCTCTCTTCCTCTCTGTGTTTCTCCCTGTCTCTGTCTCTTTCTTTTTCCAAAACAATTGTTGGGCTCTGCCAGGAGTACAAAAAGGAGTACAGAGAGAAAACTCAGCTTCTACCAGGGAGTCATTTTGAGCCAGGATTGTTAAACTTGAAGGCTGGCCCTCATCAAGGGAGGGTCCTTGGGAGTATGATAAACACAAAGGTCAAGGTAGACACAAAATATGTGGAGTGTGGAGAGGGAGGCAGTAGACGTTGTATCTGGAGTAGAGTAGGCTCAAAGGAGGCAATGCCAGAGGTAAGCCTTAAACAGCAAGCAAGAGTAAGCCAGATGCAAAGGGGAGGTGTGGATGGAGGCATTCCAGGCAGAAAGGAGAGGAGGAGCAAAGTTCCAGTGCCAGAGAGTACGGTGTGTATGGGCGTGTGTATGTGAGTGTATTTGTATGCATAGAACTATAGGCTTCCTGTCCATGGGACATTCTCTGCATTTGTCCTTTATCAATTATGTTTAGTGGTAGCATGAAATCCAGTAATTCCAAATCTGATGTTATGTGGGAAAATGTCTTTTAATGTAAGACACTGTGTGCAGATATCCACTCATAATTTGTGGTAAGCCTAAGAACCCTTTTAGAATATCATGTTTCTATTTTAAGAGTTAATGTTGTGCTGTTATGTAATTTGAGCTCTGACCATATGCTGTAGATTTGGAATATGTACAAAAGAAAGTGCAAGTGTCATCAATGTAGAAAATTACTAGAAGGTCAGAGCCATGTTCCCCTCTTCCCACTTCTTTTGTTTTATGATCTGCCCGAAAGCCTGATGCAAAGCGTGTCAGCAGTCACTTGGGGATGTCTTCATTTTTCAAGTTCTTAAACACTTTCTTGTTTTTGAGACTTTTAAAAGAGTGGTAGCATTTGCCGGACGTGAGCCAATGGAGGGAATAATAGGAGCCATCTGGAGAAATATTCAGGTGCATCACAAGGAACTAGAGAAATAACAGTTCTGGAAAGTTGAATTTCTTTCTGATTTCAGAACCTACCATTAAATTTTTGTATTCTGTTTTTGGTAAATTCAAATGATTCTAACTGTGTATTTAGGTGACTTGGAGATTCAGTGGTTAAATGGCATGTAAAGCTCATTTAAGAACCTCATGGAAGCCAAACTAAAGTACTTGCTTAACAGACAGTATGAATATTTATGAATGTTATTCATTATTCTCATTTAGGAACAATAATGAAGCCACCACTAGAAATGAATGTGCTTTTTTTCTGGAATCATTTTTAAAGATAGAAAAGAAAATAATATTTGATAAAATTAAAGTAGTAGAAACGCATCTGGGAAAATTACCATATAAATATTTTCTACATAATTTCTCATCCTTATTTGTTTTGACCTCTTCTCCTTCAGTGGTTATTTCACTTCCTGTTAGCTGATTGGTAGACTTGGAGGAGGAAAAAAATATCCTGATTGAGAAGTGAGTTGCCATGGCAACCTTGCACTACAGTTATATTTTTCTGTCTGTAACTATAAATGGTAAAATGTAACCTTTCTAATTATGCTGCAACATTTTTAACTCTATTGGTACCAAATCCTCTACAAAGTTTGATGTCATGCTAAATAAAAGCAATACATCTTATTTTTATCTCAACAAAAAAATATTTATATTAACTGGAATCTCTTTTGTAGAAATTAAGATTCTATGACACGCAATAAAATATCAAAATACAGTGATTTAAAAATCTTACCTGAATGCCTAGATTGCTCATTCTAAACATTCAAAATAATTAAAATATTAGCCTGAGTTTAAGTTTATTATTTTTAAAATGTGTTGTTTGAACAGAACAAGGAGAAACCTAATTCGCAATCTGTAAATGAAGGTCTTAACCTTTAGCAATGAATTATTTTTTCTTCAGTCCTATGGGAACAACCTAGACAGTCCCTGATTTCCTAACACTAGTTTGAAGTAACTCATACATTTGAACAACAAATGCAAAGCATCGCTG
Source organism: Homo sapiens (assembly GCF_000001405.40). Classification (NCBI taxonomy): domain Eukaryota; kingdom Metazoa; phylum Chordata; class Mammalia; order Primates; family Hominidae; genus Homo; species Homo sapiens. The sequence goes on from NC_000013.11 coordinate 77,581,481, forward strand.
CTTTGCCCAACCCAGATTCCCACCTCTCCTCCCTCTCTTGGAGCTCTTGTTGCCTCCGCCCCTGCCAGGGGGGCTCCTGGAAATATGAGGAAGCAGGGAAGCTCTAGGTTCAAAAGTAGGATAAAGAAAGAAGCTAGGAGAATCAGGATACCTAGGGTCAAGCACTCTGTCAAAAACGTCACCTTGCTCCAATCATAAAAACCAAATAATTTGATTTTTTAAAAAATTATTTCACCATTTCTCCTAGTATTGCTGGAAGTTCTATCGACTAGAGATTGTAAATTTCACCTCAATTAGAAGCATGGCAGGTTAAAGGGACTGTCTCTGGTCATTCAAATCTTAGTGTCAGTTATATAAACCAGGTTTCTTTCCTGCTAAAACTGGGCAGAATTAGAGCATGCTGAGGGAATGGAGGCTTGCATTGTGTGGAGGGGAGTGGAAGATGGCTTTGGAGGAAGAAGACTGGGAGGCAGGGAGGCCTGAGTACAGTGAAGTATAGGTGATAGGGACATGCTGTGGTGTAGGGTTTGGGAGAGGACAATGGGAGTGGGGGATGGGGGTGAAAGGACCAACATTTTGCTTGGGACTGTCTTCATACTAGGCAGCCCATCTTTGTCCTCTCATCTCTCTGTCTCCTCTCTTAGCTATGTGCAGAATGTCATATAATGGAATCACACATTATATACACCCTTTTCATATGTTTGCATGTGTTTGTTTGTCATCTGTGTATCTTCCTTGGTGAAGTATCTGTTAAATATTTTTTTGAAATGGAGTCTCACTCTGTTGCCCAGGCTGGAGTGCAGTGGTGTGATCTCGGCTCACTGCAACCTCTGCCTCCTGGGTTCAAGTGATTCTCATGCCTCAGCCTCCTGAGTAGCTGGGACTACAGGTGCGTGCCACCACGCCTGGCTGAATTTTTGTATTTTTAGTAGAGACGGGGTTTCACCATGTTGGTCAGGCTGGTCTCGAACTCCTGACCTCAGATGATCCTCCTGCCTCGGCCTCCGAAAGTGCTGGGATTACAGGTCTGAACCATCCTGTAGGCCCAAGTATCTTAAATCATTTGCTCATTTTATTCCTGCTGGTTTGTTTACTTATTGCTGAGTTTTGAGAGTTTCAAAAAATACATTGTGCTTGGAAGTCCTTTGTCAGATATGTGAATAGCAAATATTTTTTCCAGTGTGTGGCTTGTTTTTCAATTCTCTTAACGATGCACTTTTGAGAGCCAAAGTGTTTTTTTAATTTAATGAAATCCAATTTATCAAGCTTTGTTAAATAAATTATGCTTTTGTTATTATGTTTAAGAACTCTTTGCTTAACTAATGATCACAAAAATTTCTTCTGTTTTCTTCTAAAAGTTTGTAGTTTTATGTTTGACATATAGATGTGTGATCCATTTTGAGTAGACTCGTTAGTAATGCTAACTTTTTTTTAGTTCACTTGATAATAGTTGAAATATTTTTATGTCTTTGAGAAAACATCTAAGGACAAAAAGCTGCTATGACTTAAGCAATACTTAAATTTGTGTATCTTTGTATCTACTGACCAATAAAAGTTGACTCATGTTCTTATAGAGCCAACTTAAATTTAAATTTTATTAACCACAACAGCATCTACATACCTTTAAAAAGCACAGTACATGAACGTCAAGGTACTTGTGGAGTGGAGGATTCCCTGCAATAGCGCCACCCTCCCTTATTCATGTAGTGGTTTACCTTCCACAGATCTGAGCCAATCTCCTCCTTTTATAGACAAATAAGCAGAGTTTTGGAGGGTAACAGAGCTTTTTCCAGAGTCAAAGAGAAAGTTGGTGGCAAAGCTAGCCTAGAATCTAGAATCTAGATCTCTAGAATTCTAGTCCAGTGCAAGCTCCATTACTAGGTTATGGTTTACTGACTGGCCACTAGAAAGCGAGGCATCATCACAGTAACCATTCTTTTGAACATGTGCCTTGCATTCTCCAAGCTCTTCGAAGGCATGGACTACATCTTTTCTAGTCTTTGACTGCCCAGTTACGGCTCATATACTGTTGTGTGTCCTAACATTATGAATGGGGCAGTTGTGGAGTAAGTGCTTTTTGAGCAAGGAAATATTTCAGATCAACCAATTTTTAATAGATTCGCAGTGAAAATACCTGGAAGAGAATTGGTTGTCTACAGTATGATATAGAGAAAAAACAAGGGATTTAACATCAGAAAGACCAGTTTGAAACCCTGGCTAAGCACAATAGAAAGTGAAAACAAAATTCACAGTTAAATATTAGAGACAATGATTCTGTGTTCAACCTAGATTTGTGCTGCAGTAATAGACATGTTCACACAGCCAGACTCAAACAGAAGTCACAGAGCCAAGCATGTTATGCAAAAAAGCCATGAGGAAAGACGTGATATTTGCAGCAGCATATGGAAATGAAGTAATATAGACAGCTTTCTTTACAGTGTTATTTCTTTTAGCTTTGGCCTTTGAGCTACAGTCTGCAAGTGTTCACATGTTTCTCGTGAAATCCACGTTTTTTATTCCTGAAAGCTCATCATGATAGCCACTAGTGTGGTGGCATATATCCTGCAGGACCCTTGAGGGGTCTGGGGATGGGTGAAGGGGAGAGCCAGGGTCAACTTACCCAAGCTTAAACATCGCATCTCAAAGCAGAATTCAATGAAGATCATTCCAATGAATGTCTCTTGTTTCCTTCTCTTCAGAACGTTCTGGCCACAGCTTCCTGCCTCGCTCTTGCATTTTAATCCCCCTGCTTGGCATCACATCATGCTCCTGGCACGACATGAATGACTCCTCTCATTGCCCGCCCCACCCCAGGGCTTGAGTTCTGTCATCTGTGGCTGTCATTGCAGTGATGCAAATGAAAGCTCCTTTGAGGTAAATGGAAGTCAACATGGCATCGCCTGGCTCCTGGCCCAGCAGGGGTGTAAATGCATCACCCTTGGAAATAAACATGCTTCTCTGCTTTTCTTGGCCTTCATAACTGCACATCCATCTTTCCCTTTCCTGCGTATTCTCCAGACCATTTCAGATCTACTTCTACTCCCCTGATCCACGCAATCCATATTTACCCACCTCTTTGAGGCCCTAGACATTTTAAAATGGAAGAAATTGAGTATGTCATTAACATGACTGTAACATAAGTAAAGCTTGGCACCATCCCATTTCTATTTTTTGTAATCCTCCTTTCCACCTTGTTACCTCTTTCCTGCCTGTCCTCAGACATCTAGTGTTCTGTACAGCCTCATTATTACCCAGGACTGATCACCTCCTTCCCCCTTTCCTCTGCCTCTGGAAGGAAAGCATGTAACCAATGAATCCACACAGATACACTAAAGACTGTATCACTTGATGCATACACCCAACACAAGGATATTTTCCGAGAAAAGAAGATGGTGGCAATACAAACAAAATACTGTAGAATCTGCCACTAAGCCAGGATGGGAAGACTATTTCCATGTAAATTGCTCTTCCAGAAATATCACACAACAGAATGATTCAGCCAAGTACCTGGCACCTAGTAGGTGTTCTGTAATGGGATTGACAGTGGAATTCTCCTATGAGGAAGCTAAACTTGCACAGATTTTGAAAGTTGCAAATCCGTCTTTGGTACCCATTTCCTCCCTGCCAAAGAAATTCAGCCAATCACTTCCTCCTTCATTCTTATGCCATACACAATCCTAGTACTTGGGATATAGCTGTCCTTTTAGGAACTTTCAGTTCAGTGTGGGAACAGAATATCATGTGTAATCCAGAATAGTGTGATATGTGCTGTGAATAGGGTTGTTATGGGGGAATGTAGGGATGTATATAGCATGGCTTTGGGTATCACTGGAGATAGATACTCCTAAACCAAAGTCTGAAGGGCAAGGAGAGAATTTCCAGGTGAAGGGAAGAAGGAGGTGCTCCACAGCGGGGAGAGAATATGGTGGGGTGCATTAGGAAGGGTAAGAGTTTGTCACATCTGCAGCCCTGGGGTCATGTGGGGTGAAAACAACAACCACTACAGCAAAAGACACTATTTCCTGTGTGGAAGCCAAGCATGTGCGCGCTCTTCTGGCTTCAATGTCACCATCAACATGAGAGCCAAGAGACCCACCATGCTTGGTGCTCCACTATCCATCACCCACGGCCTCACCACCACTCTGCTGAAAGTTCTCAGGACTCATTCCATTATGTCCTTTCCATAGACCCTCATTGAAACCCCAGTCAGGTCATTTCTTATCACCTGGACCATCTCCACAGAGCTCTGTACCTCCCTGAACCTGACCCAACCTAATATCACACTGAGCTCTCAAACCCTTCCACTCCACCTTGCTGAGCGTGTCATTTGTCATTGCCAAAATCCTCCACTCTTCAGCCTCCCCTCTGAATGATCTCCCACCTTTTTGTTGTGCTCTTCCAGAGGACCCTGCTTCCACAGCCTGTCTCTCAATAAGGGCTGTTTTCCCTCTAAACTGACATATCACAGGGTCCGGATGAAGGTAGGGGTCTTGTTTGCTTCTCATCACCACCTGCTGTTAATTTTAACTCCCTCCTCCCTGAAACTCTCCATCTCCTTTGAAGCCATGCCCTTGTGAGCTTCTCATCTTTGTTGGAGTCATCTGAAGGTCTCTGAGACACTCACACTCATTCTTTGAAGACTTCAGCACCACGCTCACTGTCTTTCCCAAACCCTCCTCTTGTCATAATGCTTGGTGATTTCAAAATCCATGCAGAGGATCCTTCCCCTCCCCGACCACTCACCTTTGTGACCTTCTCCCCGATGATCTTGTTCTTCCCACTACTGCAGCCATTGATAGATCTTGCCCTGTAAATAACCACATACCCTACAAAATTACAAGACTTCTACTTCAAAGCTTTCCCTCTCTGGCTCCCGCTTTCTCTCTGTCCAGCTCACTCCCTTCAGTCCTTTGATTCCAGGAATTCCTCAGCCCCATCACAATCACCAGTCCATTAATTCTACCAGTTTTTTCACAGTCCCCACTACTCATATTCTCATTTCCCTCCATGCCCATCTCAAACTCCACAGCCCCCATTGTAACCCCTTCCTTGAAGACCCCTTCCACTCCCTTGCCATCATTCTCTTTGTTGCACTCACTTGGCTGAATTGTAAACGTGGCTAATGGTAAATCCAACTCTCAGTCTATTCTGTTCCTCCTCCCCAACCAGTTGAATATGGCAAGAGGAAACAATGCCAAATAACCTGATTTTAAGCCCATGAGTACTAACCTCAACTGAGCCATTGGTATGGCCCAAGGATCCTTCAAGAGACAGCACAGCATTTGGAGGGTTTATGCAGCCAGACTTTCCCTTTCAGATTCCCAGCTCTGCCCCTTATGAGCTGCATCATCATGAGATATTTATCTTTATGTTCTGTGCTTCAGTGTTTTAATCTGTAAAATGGGAAGAAGAATAATACTTATGTCTGGGATTGCAGTGAGGATTTCATTAGTTAATATATGTAAAGTGCTTAGAAAAGTTTCTGGCACATAATGACCCCATATAATAGTACATCATCATCATCACCATCTTACTACGTTTCCTGGGTCCACTTACTCTTCTGCTTGCCTAGAAAACCATTTCACACATTTTCTCCGCCTCTTTCTTTCTCACACAGTCCTAATCCCTACTCAACCTCCTCACTTTGAATCAATGATCTTGATTGTTATTTTACTGAGAAAATAGAAGTAAACAAAAGAGAACCTTCCTCACTCTGAGTCAATGAACGTACCCCAGCTATACTCATCTAGTTCTTTCCCTCTTGCTGCTGTGAATGAGCCCTCTGTACTTCCATCTAAGATCAACCACCACCCTGTGCCTTAGGTCCCATCAATTCTCAAAGTCATCTGTCTAGTGATTTCCCCCTCTCTCTCCTGCATCAATGATTCACTGGATCATTCCCATCATCATACCTACATGCTGTAGTAACCTTCCTCGATCCATCAGCCTCGAAGTAGCTACCCATTTCTGTCTTCCTACTTTACTGCCAAACTGCCTCAATGCCTCTATCTCCTTGCTTCCCCATTTTTTCCTAAATCCACTCGTATGATTTTTTTTTCTTTTCCCACCATCGTTCCATCAAAACTGCTCTTATCAGGGTGACCAAAGACCACTCTGTTGGCCAAACCATGGTAATTTCCCAGTCCTTGTTTTTATTTGATTAACAGTAGCATCTGAAATGGCCAAGTACTCTTTCCTTGAAACTTTTCTCGCTTGGCTTCTGGGATGCCACGCCCTTCTATTACTCTTGTTTCCTTCTTGGCCACTCCTCCTGATTCTTTTGCTGTTTTCATCTCATATTCTTGACCTCTAAATATTGCAGGGCCTGAAGGTCCAACCCCTGGCCCTCTTTTTGTCTCTACTTACACTGACTCCCTTAGTGATCTCTGCCAGTTTAAAGCATTAAATACCATCTCTAAGCTAATGATGGCTGTATTTATATGCTTTTTCTCCAGATAGCCTCATGGCTTACTCTATTACTTCCTGCAGGTCTTGGTTCAAATTTCACCTGACAGAGAGACCTTCCCAGTCCATTCTAAATAAAATAATCTTCCCATTCCATCAGTCTATATCTCCTTATTCTGTTTTATTATTATTATTATTTGCACAGCACTTTTCTTCTTCTGACATATATTTATTTGTATATTGAAAGCCTTTGAGAACAAGGACATTACCCAGCTCACAGAGAGCCTTCCTTGCACATAGAAAGCTACCAATAAATGTTTGTTGAGTAAAAACACAATCTCATTCAGTCCTGACAATACCCCAACAATCCTATTAGAAAGATTATTACAGATGAAGAAACAGAATCAAGTTAACCTGTTACCACACAGCTGGCAATTCAGGCAGCCTGACTCTAGCCCACATGCCTATCTACCATTGCTACAGAAGCCAGAAGGGTACACAGGATCAGAGGGTTCTTTTACCAGGTACAGAGTTTATGTTGAGGACAAATAGAGAACTGCTGGGGTGGTAGTGGTGGGGAACACAGGGGAGTGACATACTCTTAGTAAGGTGCTGACTCCATCCAAAATGTGCACATAATTGCCCATCTCCAGTTCCTACCTCATTAAGTCCTGCCAACTCAGAGACTGCTGTGGTGCTTCATTGGAAAGTTTAGGCTGACGGTAGATTGTATATATGCTTTGTCAGCATCAAAGTGGCCTGTGCTGACAATATTTAAGTCAGATTTAGTTAAGAGCTTCAAATCAATGCTACCTTGAGGTCTCTGAAATTAAAGCCTTTTCTTGCTGTTTCCATAGCAGCCTGATAGTTGACATAATCCCCAAAGAAGCTTATATATTAATACCCAAGGACCATTTACAGTTCTCATGCACTGCTGACCTGAAATGCCATGACTAGAGCTAGATATACTAGCAAAATATTGAGTTATTTAAAGAACATAGTATAGTCCAAACTATAGTGAAAGAGGATTGGGTTTTCAAGAACCTGATTAAATAAACTTTAAAAATACACATATTTTCAATATTTGACTTCTTTAAAGTTTAGTGCTCCATGGATTCTGACCTTTCAGGTACCTCACACATGGGGGTTGTAAGATGCAAAGGATATTTTTATGTAGGCAATAAATGCATTCAGTTAATAGATGCTAAAATTTACCATGTTTCCATGGTGAAATGAACTGCTGTTTTCTGTTTTAAAGGGAACCAGGTGTTCACCCTCCAATACCTCCAAAGCCCAGTTCTCCTGTTTCTTCTCCTAACCAGCTGAGACAGGATAATAGGTAAGACCTAGTACTCCAGAATTTCTTGACAAAATGAAGTTCAAGGGAAATGAAAGTAAATGGACTGTGACCCGCTGTGGGCAAAGCATGAATGTTTTGTGTGCACATTCCCTAAAGAAGCGCCTGTAGAACTTTTTCTAATTTTATTTCCCAACACATATGTTTATTTATGTTTGTCTTTGAATACTAATGGCTAACTTGTCTTAAGAAAATATGCCTTCAAGATAAAAATGGAACAATATTCATGTTCAGAAAGTGTTTGTACACAGACTTTTTATATATTTGCTCCTAATATACAAATATAAATACATATATGTATTTGACATGTATCACATATAATATACATATAAACCATATTAAAAATGTATTTTTTGTTCATGTTTGTTCCAAGTTAAGTTTCCCACTAAGAGATACAGATTCTGATGAACGATGTTCTTGAAACTTTGTGTTACCACTCAAATCCTTGCTTATGTTACAAATACCTTTGAGTAGTTCTTTAATCTTTTTTTACTGAAGGGATTTGTAATTTATTTCAAAACTATCACAAATTTTGAAAGATGTTCTAATTGACTTGTCTCTGAATCAGGAAAAATAGACTTGCTTCTCAGCTTTGAATCTCTGTCACTCTATAATTAATACTTGGAAACAAATTCAGAGATCTGAACTCTTCCCATGTGTTACATTTAAACTGTTTAATATATCTTGAACAATTTTTCAAGATGTACACCCCACATTTCCATTATTATTGTGAGATTAAAAAATAGTAACTCAACGGAGATTGACTACATTACATCTCCTTGATTGCCTACTGTTGCTTCTTTTGTATTTTTGCTCTTCGATGGTGATTTTTTTGACACCACGTAAGACACAATTATGAAACTATTCTTTAATAAGACACAACCATAGAACTACTTTTTAGTAGACACAATTATAGAAATATTCTTCATTAAGAGAGTAACTTCAGTTACAAAGTTTTGACTGGGCAGCAGGACCATGTAGCAATAGGTGTTAAAACTCCAGGTTTGAATTTCTGTTCAGTGAAACTGCACAGGATCTTTGAAATTTTGTCCATAGGATGAGAGCATAATTTTTTAAATTGAGTCAAGAGAATATTTCTTCACTGAACTAATTAAAAATATAGATCAGATTTATAACTTTTTGTTTGTATGATGGTTATAATGATCTCTTAAAAATATCTTCTCAAGCTTTTTAATCTTACATTATTTTTCCTCTAACTCTTCTAGTATTGAGCAATTAAATCCCAATTTGAATAGAATTGTTTTAAGGGGCTAAAATTAATTGGCCTTAGTACCACCGATATTCTAATCTAAAATCAGCATCACTAGAGCTACAAGCTTGTTTAAATTTAAAGGAAGCTAAATTTCACAGGAACTTACTACTCAAATTTCTTTATTCTACCAATGATCTAAAAAATAAAATTGGGACAACTTGCATGTTTTTTTAAAGTCCTGACTACTTTAATCACAGCAAGATGATTTTAATGAAAGAATATGAAATGGAAGTGTTTCCTATGTAATTAACACATGTCCTCAGGAGTACAAAAAATAGTCGAATATAGCTTCTTGAGAACAAGTAGGAATGTATAAGTAGGTCAACCAGATACTTTAAAAAAGAGTAGAGAAAAGTCTTAAATTGTGCCAGAACCTAACATAATAAAATTTAATTCTGTCAGCTTAGTATGGTCATTCCCAATGTAGTAGGTGTACTTGAAACATAGACTCTTCTTCCCACCTTTTATGAACAAATATATTTCTTGATAGTATTCAAATGGGATAATTCTTTAAGAAAAAAATCCCTTTGATGCCCATAACAAAAATTAATATTTTAAAATGTTATATCATTATCTGATAGAGATAAGTATGAAAATGCTTTATTGATGGAGAACAAAAAACAACATAAACATATTTAGAACTTATAAGTCTAGATAGATCCAGTGGTTTACAAATATGCGATAAAGATAGATTAAATTACAAACTCAGTATACTGGAGTTCCCGCCAACCCAAAGAATTTAAGTTTGTTATCTCAGGTAGTGTTATGGTTCCAACAAACACTGATCTTTTTGTACATAAATTTTTTAAAATAAATTTCAATTTATCAAAAAGTGTTTTCTTTTCTGACTGATATAATCTTCTAACTTTGAAAATATAGGCAGATACATCCACCTAAACCAGGTGTATATACAGAAACCAACAGATCTGCTGAAAGAAATATAAGGTACACTGATTTCTATTTATATCTATGTAACTGTAGTAATGATAAAGTATGCTTTCTCAGCACATTAAAAAATGCAAGGCAATTAATAATAAGGTAGACAAAATCAGTTTTCCAACTGACTCCAAAATATTAATAAATGTTTTTGTAGGCACTTTCAGAATTTTGTTCCTTTTAATTCTATCCCAAACTTTCCATTAAGAAAACTACCAAAATGGTGTGAACAAGGTAACAGGATAAGATCAAACCCACTAAAGGCAGGAAAGCTTGCTCACCTCTTTATTCCCAGGACCTGCTCTGAGGTCTATGATATAGTTGGTGTGGATGTATAAAGAGGTGGAAATACAGTTGTTCAGTTGAACTTGTGTTACAAAATCCTGCAGCATCAGGAAGAAGCACATTGATGCCATTTGTTAAGGGACATTCACCAAATGTCGTCGGGGGGGAGGGTAAGGTGGCATTCCCCAAATGTCTGGTCTCCCGATTTACACTTCTAATTTATGCTTGTTGTCTTGCACATCCTATTTAGTCTAGCATTTGTTCTGGATGTGTCTTCTTTTTCTCCCTTTTCTAAGGAAAAAAATTACTTTTTGAAAATAGTTTTTAAACAGTGCAATTTTATAGGTCTATCAATATGATAATTTTTCAGTCAAAAGATTTTTATGACTGAAAAAATTACTTTGAAGTTTAAAACTTATATACTTTTCATTTTTTATATTATCCCCGTTTGACTTTCAGAAGAGTGCCATTCTAAAAGACACATCACATGTATTCTCTTCTTTGGAGAAAGTCATGTTTCCCTTGTTCTGAGGAGCTTACAGCACCACTCTTGGCATTCCCCAACCTGTGTTCTATGTGCCACAGGATGTCAATGCATGTTCTGCAAAAGAAGAGTTCAGTGTTTCACTACATTTAGGAAACACAGTTTAATAGAGTTTTCTGCCACAGAACTTTTCAGAATCTTTAGTGTGCTTATGTGTATTCCAAATCAGCAAAAGTCGGTTACATTTCCCAACTTACTTGGCTACAAAATCCTTTCTTCATGGAACCTTATTAACCATCTATGAGATACTGAGTTCTTTTCTTTTCTTCTTCTTCTTCTTCCTTTTTTTTTTTTTTTTGACAGGATCTTGCTCTGTCACCCAGGCTGGAGTGCAGCAGAGAACTTATAGCTCACTGCAGCCTCAAACTCCTGGGCTCAGGAGATCCTCCTGCCTTAGCCTCCTGAGTAGTTGGGACTACGCGCACAGGCCACCACACCCAGCTAATTTAAAAAGAAATTTGTATGTGGAGATGGGGATCTCCCTTTGATGCCCAGGCTAATCTTAAACTTCTGGCCTCAAGGGATCCTCCTTCCTTGGCCTCCCAAAGTTCTGGGATTACAGGTGTGAACCACCACACCCAGCCCACAGTTCTTAATTACTATAAGAATTTTCCTAATTGTTCCTTTTATGATCCAGGGATATTGGCATTGATCTGATTTGGAATACATGAGCCCTCTATGTGCTCAGGTGCTTCCACCTATTCTAGAGTCTGAGAAGACAAACATTTTCACCCCTTTAGGGTGAAAAGGAATAATTAATTAATTAATTGTATCTGTTGCTTAATGCTGCTTGGTTCTGGTAGAAAACCTTTTGAACTCACTTCTGTGTTTACTTGTCAGTTAAATGGATTTTGTTTTCTATGTCCTTTTTGTAACATAGAACCTGGGAGCTGGCAATACAAGTCTTCAGGAGAAAATGTAGTTATTTCAGTGAGCACTAGATGGCAGAGCCAACACCCAGGTGGAATAACAGAGGGGAGTGTGTGTGTGTGTGTGTGTGTGTGTGTGTGTGTGTGTCTGTGTGTGTGTGTGTGTGTGTCAGTGGGGGATGTGTGTGTCTCTGTGTGCCATGAGCTGACATAATAGAACCATTTTGTCATTCTGTTAAACTCAGTAATTCCTGAACACCACCTAGACTATTTACTTTATTTACTGAAAACAAATGAGAAATTTTAGCTCCTTCAAAAATAGCTCGACTATCATTGACCTGTATTTATTTTTCATTGTTTGAAGGAGTCAGGATCTTGATAACATCGTCAAAGTGGCCACTTCACTTCAGAGAAGTGACAAAGGGTGAGATCTCAGAGCTTTTGAGCTTGGGTTTTATCTTCCCTGGTGTTTCAAAAATGCTTAACCACACCTTTAAAAGTTCCAAATATGAACAAAATCCTAGTGCTGTATATCGTATATAATTTAAAATAAGAAAGCATCAGTTTCTCCAGATAAGTATTCCTGAATAGTGGATGGTGCCAACATTTATGGACACTCTTCCAACTCTGCTGCTTTTTCTGGCAATTTTACTCACCCAGTGACCTCAGCTGTCAAGCCTCATTCCAAATATCCAGTCCTGTATTTATGTTGCTGGTCCAGATCTCCACTCATCTCCTAGCACCACCCCTCAGGATGTCCAAGGTCATATCCAAATTCCTTCCCAAATGTGCTGTTCCTCACTTCTCTGTTCTTGAATTCCTGCAGACTCACCTTTCTGGAATAATTCTTGATTCTTCCTTCTCCTTCCCCTTCCCCTTAAGTAGTATCATGCATGCACGAATTAAACATCTAAAATGTCCCTCATGTGTACACGGATTTCCCCTAGTTTAAAACCTCATTGACTCCTTCACAGATTATTAGAGTAGTTATTCAGCTTTACTTACACTCTTCAGGCTTTCCTTCCACTAAACTATTATCACCCATCAATGCCATAATTTTTCCAAAGATTCTGCTCAATCACTGAACCAGATCCACATTGCCCATTCAATGGCATATAACCTCATTCAAAGCCCTTGCGAACCTGGCTCCAGCCTCACATTCCAGTTATTTCTGTTTTCACTCCTATATTTATCCTACGTTCATATCAAGGGAAACCATTTTCTCTCTGTAGTTTCCAAATACTCTGGCTTTGTTTATACCACATGGTAGCCTTTTCCAGCCTCAAGCCACCATGCCAATCCATCCAAGCCCTGCCCATTGTTCAAGATCTGGATCAAGTGGCACCTTCTCTGTTGTCTTCCCTGAGTGATCCAGTGAGATGTGACTTCTGCCTCTATTAGCACTTAGAGTTGCACTATTCATATTTTATAAGAGCGAATCATACTCAGTTTTGTTTCCTGTTATTTGCATAAGTGTGTTACCTTCTCTATCATCTCTATAGTCTCTCAGGGCAGATATTTTGTCTTATTTGCCATTTACAGTGTGTGACATGATGCTTTGTACACAGTGTTTAATAGATTATGGTAAAATCATAATATTCCATTGTTTAAGTCCAAAGCTCTCAAAAATATTCCTTGTTTAATAGATTTTAGTAATGCTAAGAGTGTTGTTAGAGATTGCAGTCTCTGTCAAAAGAATTGAAGAGAAGAAAATGTGACACTTGGCTTTTCTGTGCAAATTCATAAACAAAATAGGAGCTCTGAATCCAGACAGAGTCTATAGAAATTGTCCTGAATGTTTCATTTCCATGTCTTCCCTCATTGAAGTGTCTAGATCTCTAATTTTATTGATTTATTTCTGTTGCAGGTAATATTTTGTTTCCAGTAGGGATTAGACAGTGGTTTGGTGGGTGATCGGGATATCTGAGAAACAGATAAGTGAGTGACTCTGAAGGGAAATTATGGTTTGGTGTAAATCAAATAAAAACTGTCAGAGAGGCAGTTAGTTTAACTTTCCTGTCCCTGCTCCCTAGCCATAATGCTCAAATTCCACAGCCAGGTACATTTATCACAGAGAGAAGTTGCTGCTTGACAGGGATCAGGAAAAATGTTCATGGTAGTCATCATAGAGTATTGTTTCTTTGGACCATCCACAGGGAGTAGAAATGGCTTTAGTTATCCGAGCTGCTCTTTGTGAAATGGAATGTTACTGCTATCTGATTAAGAGCATTTAATTTGTTACAAATGCAATGGTGAAACTTAATATCCAAAGCTTTCATCAATTTAAAGTCATTTTGAAAGCTTAAGTTTTTTATTTGGAATACAGTATCCATTTTATTTAATTTGCCACAGAGTGTCTTCTCATGATTTATGCTAATTTTCTTGGGATAAAGCAACTCCAAATCCTGATAATCTCATCATTGTGACTCATGCCAGTCAGGAAAGCCTGGGGCTAAAATTTATAGGACTCGTGGGTTTGCTCTTTCCCTTGGGGACATGAACAGATTGTTAGTCTCAGAGTTAGTGGGTAGAATATCAAGCAAGAAACAGTAATGGGTTACTGTGTCAAGGGACTGGGTAGTGTTTGTCACACACAAGGATAGAGCATTAATTTTTTTGTTGTTGTTAGAGGCAGCAACTTTTGTATTTCAGTATTTATTCTCAGGCAACAATTCTACCATTGATACCTAAAACTACTTGACAGGATTCACCTATGTACTGGCTGTTAATTTAGGGTCTCTAAGAGGACTACCCTCAGCAGCTATTCTTGCTATAGTGTCATCGTGCCAGGCATCTTCAAGCACATAAGTGACTTAGCAATTGCATCTCTCTCTAAAGGCTAAGTCGAAGTCTTGGTGTTTCTAAGTGCAATTAAAAAATAAGTATAGCAAGCATTTACTAGGTTGGGCGTGGTGGCTCACACCTGTAATCCCAGCACTTTGGGAGGCTGAGGTGGGCAGATCACCTGAGGTAAGGAGTTCAAGACCAGCTTGGCAAACATGGTGAAACCCCATCTCTACTAAAACTACAAAAATTAGCTGGGCATGGTGGTGCACACCTTTAGTCCCAGCTACTTGGGAGGCTGAGGCAGGAGAATTGCTTGAACCTGGGAGGCGGAGGTTGCAGTGAGCCAAGATCATGCCATTGAACTCCAGTTTGGGCAACAAGAGTGAAACTCTGTCTTAAAAAAAAAAAAGTATAGCAAGCATTTATTAAACAAAAAATTTAGTAATGACAGGGCATTATTTATTATAATGGCCCAAATTAATCAGGAATTTATGACTTGTTAGGCATTGTGCTAAATACTTTATATTCATGAGCTTATGAATCTTTTCTGAGGTGGGTATGATTAGTATTCTCATTTTACAAATGGGAAAATTAAGTCCACAGAAGGTTAGGTAACTCACCCAGATTCACCAATGAATAAGTGATGAGTCCTGGATCGTACTCCATGTGTCCTTAACAAGGAAACTTGAATGCGTAACTACTGATTTGTGAACAGAAAAACTTGCTGAGGAAGGCAAGAGAGGTGGGGCAAGGTGTGTGTGTGTGTGTGTGTGTGTGTGTGTGTGTGGTCGGGGGTAGGTCATGAATAGAAAAGTTGGAGAAAGGACATGCTGTGACAGGGAACTAGAGGAAGAAACCAATAGCACTGTGGTGAAACCCCCACCCCACCTCACCTAGGCTGCCTGCTTAGGGGAGAAAGTTGAACCCATGTGGTTTAAATAGAATTCCTGAACCTAAGTATTTAAATAGGTTGCTCCTGAAGCAGCAGCCAGAAAAGGCTTTGCAGTTGTCAAATGTGGAAACAGGCTAGCAAATTTAGCTGACCTGGAAATGAAGTAGCAGAGCTCAAGAAGGAAGCCAGACTTACTGATGAACAAATGTTTTCTAGAAGCTACGTGTGCAAGTACATTGCACAATGCTGTAATTAATCAGTGTACCTATGTGTGGACTCAATTAAAAGTGGGTATTAAGTATCTACTGTATGAACACTGTATTAAAACACAGAAGTGTGTCTGATGTAAAATACAGTTCTAAATTTTAAGTGGTGTGCATATGTGTGCCTGTGCTGAGGTAGGAGCATTAACATGAGACCAGTGTGCAATGGCTATAACTCAAAGTATAGTCACAGAACTGTCATAAAGCAGGTGCAGAAAAAACAAATGCTGCAAGGGCTCCAAAAATGTAGAGGACTCTATTCAGTTAGAGGACTAGGAAAGGCTTTCTGGAGAAAGTGGTGTTGGATGCGAGCTTTGAGGATCATCAGGATTTTCGCAGATGATAAAAGTGGGATGTGTTGTATTTCAGAGAACTGTCATTTTAAGGCAAATTTACCCTTTGACCCTGGGCAAGCTTTTTACTAATGTTAAACATTTTTTTCTCTTCCCAAAGTGAAGAATTGGATAATCTCATCAAAATGAACAAAAGCTTGAATAGGTAAGATTTTTAAATGTTTATCTTTTATTACTGAGTTGCATATTGTGACTTTTTATGCCTTTCCAGTCTTTGAGCGTGAGGACCCACATACCAGGGTAGTCAAAAATATCCTACAAATCTTGAATAAAAGCTTGCAGCAATCATCATCATTTCATTGTTATGATGAATGGTTATTAAAGTCTGAAGATACTAATATGAAAGTGTTCTTGATTTTCATACGCCATTTGTTTATTAAGGCAGTTATATAAATAACCACTTTTCTCTTCCTGAAATATTAATTAACTAAAATGTAAACAGAATTTGGTTTGATCATGGAATAATTTTAGTTTAACCATTACAAAAAACATTTTATTATCATAGTTAATGTTATATTGTTTATTATTATTTTTTGAGACAGAGTCTTACTCTCTTACCCAGGCTGGAGTGCAGTGGTGCAATCATAACTCACTGCAGCCTTGACCTCCTGGCCGCTAGCCATCCTCTTGCCTCAGCCTCCCAAGTAGCTGGGACTACAGGCCTGTGCCACCACGTGTGGCTAATTTTTAATTTTTTGTAGAGATGGGGTCTCACTATGTTGCCCAGGCTGTATCTTCTTGTTTTGAATCATTTATAATTGTATAACTTGAAATATGCCAAGAGAGAAAAATGAATAATCAAGGCTTGTGTTTGTGGTAAGTATAATGTAAGCAAGCTCTCTATTACTTTGCATACTAACCCACTAAACAGTGATCAAAGAGAAGGAGAAAACAGGGAAATGCCAAATGAATTCATTGATCAGAGGATCCCGAGATGTGTTTTTCCTATCCTGTTCTGGCAATAATGATCACTTAATCTGCTGCTCTTCAGTTTCCTCATTTACAAGGAGAGGAGGTTTTAGATCAGGAGTCACAGACTCCACGGCCCGCTGAGACCAGGCAGGTGTGAGTGGGTGAGGAGACTGACTGTGATAACTGCGGCCAAAAGGAGAGCAAATGCCCTGTCTGAGCACACAGCTGCTTCTCAGCTCAGCTCCAGCTGAGGGTCTCCACTGAGTCTAGTGTTGCAGGACAGCAGGGCATTCTCAGGAGATCCTGAAAATCCAGTTTTGTTGTTTGTTTGTTCATTCGTTTTAGAGACAGGGTCTCGCTCTGTCGCCCAGGCTGGAGTGCAGTGATACAATCATAGCTCACTGCAGCCTCCATTTCCTGGACTCAAGCAATCTTCCCACCTCAACCTCCCAAGTAGCTGGGACTACAGGCACCACCACCATGCCTGGCTAAGTTTTAATTTTTTTGTAGAGATGGGGTCAGACCATGTTGCCCAGGTTGGTCTCGGGCTCCTGGGATCAGGTGATCCTTCCACCTTGGCCTCCCAAAGTACTGGGATTACAGGCATAAGCCACTACACCTAGCCTGAAAATTCAGGTTTCTGTGTGTCCTGACCATCATTGTAACATGGGCTCACTTTAAAGCCCACGCTTGAAAGCTAAAAGGGTAGAAATGCTCCATGAATCCAAGTAACACCTCTATAGACCTATTGTGGTTGACAGATCCCCAGTTTATATCTTTTATTTTGTTTTCTCTAAGGCCCACTGCAATTTAAAATTTGAGTCTATGAATATACCTATTTCAAGAATTGTAGCTCATCTTCCCCAACAAGCTTCTGTTTCCTGTCTTAGATGTAAACTGGTCTATGTTCTTATAGAGTTAAGCATTGGTCATTATCACTGATGAGGCTTTTTTAAATCAATACATTTAAAGGAATCAAGGTCTTGATAGTCTCTTCAGAGCAAATCCAAAGGTAGAAGAAAGAGAGAAAAGGTAAGTGCATCTGTCTCAAATATGAAAATCTTACCTTGCAGATTGCTCGTCTTATTCCCTCAGACATTAGCTGCAAGGGGGTTGTATCCTCTGGCATGGAAATGTACTGGCAGATGGGGTAGTGCTCTCAGCATTGTACATTTAGTTCAGACATAATTACCCAGAAGGATTTCTGCTCTTCCATTCAATAAGAGTAAATGAGCAATTCATGGAGAATGTTTATTGCATTTGACCTTTCAAGATACCACACAATTTCATTTCAGTATGCAGCCTTTTATGTGAATTTCTTTGTGTTTTCAGAGCCAAAAGCCTTGAAAGTCTCATCTATATGAGTACCCGGACAGATAAAGATGGCAAAGGGTAAGATTTTATTAAGACAGACCATTTTGATTGAGTCCCAGATGGTGTACTATTTTCTGGAGGAGACCTCCTGCTTAGTACAAGGGTCAGGCAGGCTGGTGGAATAAGCCTTAGACTGGGGTCCAGGGATAGTGTGTATCTTGGTGCTGGTTTTGCCACCAACATCAATCTGGGTGACCCTGGGCAAGTTGTGTAATTTCTGGAGAGCTCTGTTTCCTCATTCCATAAAATGAAGGATATGACCTAGATGATCTCCCAGTTCCCCTTCATATCTAAAATGGAAAGAAACACAACTAGCTGTTACAAGTAGTGGAGAATAGGTTGGTTTATGAACTAAATACATTTATATTAAGGCATTTAGGTGCTGGGAGCATAGCCCCTCACCACTGAAGTCTCTTTCTCTCTTTTTCTTTTCTTTAAGACAGAGTCTTGCTCTGAGGCCCTACCTTGGCTCACTGCAGCCACCGCCTCCCGGGTTCAAGTGATTCTTTTGCCCCAGCCTTCCGAGTAGCTGGGATTTCAAGTGCCCGCCACCACGCCCAGCTAATTTTTGTATTTTTAGTAGAGATGGTGTTTTACCATGTTGGCCAGGCTGGTCTTGAACTCCTGACCTCACGTGATCTGCCCACCTAGGCCTTCCAAAGTGTTAGGATTACATGCATGAGCCACCACGCCCGGCCACCACTGAAGTCTTTAGAGTGTATAAAGGCACTTCTCAGTTGGAATCTTAGTTGGGTCATTTCATATGTATATCTCTTCATACGTATTTGTAAATACCTTTAAATGAAAAGCTATGCTTTTATTTATTTTAAATCATAAAATGGGTTAATTGATGATTAGTAACTGAACTGATAGCATTTAAGAGGTTGCCTTATAGTTCTAGCCTGACTGATATACTAGATAATTGACTTACATGACTGATATTATTTTTCTTGTTGAAAGAAACCAAAGCCGTGACCATTTCACTAGAGAAAATCCCAGAATAGTCAAGAATGACAAAGGGCAAGGATTTATGAGATCTCTACTATTTTTGCCTTCCAGATTGGCTGTTTACTTTGTATTTGGTTAGTCATGAAATTTGCCTTTCTAACATGAGAATTATTTCTATTGTCACAGTTATTTTTAAAAACCATTTATCTGTGCCAATCTATGCCCAGAATGGCATTCTAGCTTTCCAAACCAATCTTGGCGATGCATTCTTAACCCTTTATGATGTAGAACACTTAACAAAGTCTACATGATGAAAAGCATTGGCAGTAACCATCACACAGGCTTGTTAATAACATATGATTATAATGTAAACATGCCAACATATTATAGACAATTTTTTAAAAATGTGGAATAGATGAAGTTGAAAAACAGTCTCTTTTTTTTTTTTTTTGTACATGGCTATATGAGCTTTCTAGGAATAGATGAGGTTCCAGATATTTTTCAAAAACAGTTTGGAGAGTTCTGCAAAAGTGGTAGACAAAAGGACAAGTAGGATGTGCATCTTAAGTAGATCATTTTGTGGGCTGGGAAAAAGATTTATAATCTGGGATAATTTGATAACAACTGAGTTTTGGTGCAGGAATAACTGATCTTGTCTGCATGGTAGGGAAAAAGTCCTAGTTCTTTTTTCTTCTTCCCTTCCTTCTTTCTCACATTGAAATAACTTAAAATGTCAACAGTCTTATCACAGAGAAATCAGAGAGATGAAAATGGCAAAGCATAATACTTGGAAGCTTGGGGGAATTTAAAGAGATTAGCTTTCATATTCGCTAATAATTTTTAATCATTAGCATGTGAAAGTTTTATTTCATTTATATAAAGTGCTGGGACCATAACAGTTATTTTGACTTTACCAAGGTGACTTCAGACCCTTTAAACACATCTGCTAACTTTTTAAGAGAAATGACTTGTCTGAATTCTCAAAGTATTTAGACTTAAAATATTGATCAATTGATTTCTACCCCTGATGTAAATGATTTTCATGCTTAAATAAGACAGTATCTCAATATACGTATTAAAATTAGCCTCCCACCAACCCACCTCCAAGAAAGCAAAAGCCTTGGTTAAAACTTTTAAGTTGACTCCATCATAACTGAGTAATGGTTGGTATCTTAGTCTCAGGCTGCTGCTTATGCATTTTGCATGATGGATAGAGCCACCTGAATTCAGTATTTCCAAGGACTTCTGATCCTTTAGGCACTGATTGTATCTTATGAGATTCTCTTGTGGGAAATCTGCTGTTGTCATTACGAGAGTCTGAATATATCACTGAGTTGCTCTTGCCTCACTCTCTCTTTCTCTTTCTTTTCCCCCAATGTTGTAAAGAATCCAAAGCCTTGGAAGTCCGATTAAAGTTAATCAAAGGACTGACAAAAATGAGAAAGGGTAAGTCAATCTCCTACCTTGATGGAGCTCTTTTTATTCAGGTTAGCTTTTTTACCTCATTAGGAATGGGAGTGTTATGCTTTCCTTTGTGGCAGTGAACTCTTGTACTGCTTTGACCCATCAGACCTAGTAGGCAAAAGGAATATGTTGAGTGCTGTTTCATAGGACCTCTGATTTGAGTTACATTGAAGTAGGTGCAGGAAAACCTGCTACATAATCTCTTATTCCGTATTTTCTTAAATAATTAAGAGATGAGTCAAATTTTAATTTAAATTAAGAAATATAAAGGACAAAATTGCACAGCGAGAGCCACATTGAGAAGCCTTTCTAAACTGATTTAGACACATTTAAATGAAATGCTATTGTGGAAATTACTAAAGGTAAGTTAAGGATAATTACATCAAAGCTCTTTTTGGTCATTTGGTCCTGAAAACACCTGACACCACATTCAGGGACATTCTTGATTATACAGATTTCAGAGAAAATTGTACTGTAACCTAACTGACAAGTTTTGGTGTTTTTTCCAAAGAAGACAAAATCTCGAATCTGTTGCTAAAGTGAATGCCAGGATGAATAAAACGAGCAGAAGGTGAGAACTGAACAGATGTCTCTAAATATTGGTTATTTTCTCTCATATTAATTATGTGATATTGAGGGCACCACATCTTTGTTTGGCTTCTCTCTTCTGTGTCTAATCCCTGGTGCCCTGATCTTCACTTCAAAGAATCTACAGTATATTCGATCTAAATTTACATTTACATATAGCCCAATAAAATCCTAAGGATTAATTAAACTATGTTATTGATTGGCAATTTTTATACTTAAAGCCAATTTAATGTCAGTATAATAATTTTCTCCAAAAGCTTGAATTAATCATTGGGAATACAGAAGATGTATGTGTCTAATATTATGGGAATGTTTTGAAACTGATATAAACTTTTTTTTTTAAAGAAGTGAAGACCTTGATAATGCTACTGAAGTAAATCCCAAAGGACATGAAAATACCACTGGGTAAAAATAATTAATGTCTTTAATTATGGTTTCTGTTAAGTGTCAATCAGAAGATAAAATAATTTGGCTTTTTAGCTTCATAATCGTGTTTTATTAGCATGGAATTAGACAATAAAGATAGGCCACACGACCATCCCTCCTTATCCCCAATAAAACCACTAACTTTTGGAGCATTGTCTTAATGTTTGATAGTAAATTGCCTTTTTGCCCAGATTTTGGGCTTTGATTTGTCTTCAGAGTAAGTGACTGAATTGAATTTCTTTGTGCCTAAAGAATGCACAGTCTTGACAAAATTTTCAAAGTGTATTTCCAAAATGACAGAGGTGGCCAAGAGTGAGCCATCATTGGAGCTCTGGTAATTCAGCTCCTCTAAGGGTGGTGGTCTCAGGAGACAGCCCAGGCGAGGCTGGGCTGGCACACACAGGGGGAGTGAGGACCTCCCACCACTTTTTCTCCTATTCAGAGCTGTGTTGACATGGCAGTGGCACCCAATCGCAGTGCTTCTGTCTTCCCCTCCTGTCCCTTTTAGATTCTGCTGCTGCCTTTTATGATATCAAAGTATTTTAATGGGGTGGCCTGTGTCCCCCTGGGGAGTGAATCATTAATTTTTCTACTACGTGAGCTGTTTTTTCTTGCCCTTTTTTGCTCACCATGATCCATGATCTACTCTGAAGGAAATGATATTTAAAAGGGTTTGGGCTAGGTAGATAGCTGAGTTTATATGAAAGCATACGTTCTTATTCTTTTAGTTAATATTGTTAAATTCTTGTTATTATGAAATTATGATTCTCAACATTATTCTTACTACTTAAAACAGAATAGGCAATTGTATCCAGTTTATTGAGTAGAAATTTATACTGTCTGGGTCCAGTGTAGAACTCAATCTAACTTAATTGTTATTTCAATGCTGCCTGCTTGGAGTGTTCTAACAAGATGTATCTGAAGGCAAAGTTGATTTTGTTAAATAACAAGTTTCATATATACTTAGGTATTCTGAGAACAAAACAAAAAATCAGATTTATTACTAACAAATAAGCAACATTAAATGGTCTTCAGCTCAAGTTGTAAGAGAATATTTTCATTTTCTTTTAGAGCTTTAAAAATTTACATTGATATAGAAAACTTGTATATTTACCACTTCTTAATTTTTCCAGCCATTATTCATCTGATTAGTGCTATACTTTAACATCATTCATTAAAATTAATTTCCTTTTTCAAAGAAAAAAAGACCTTGATGGGCTTATTAAAGTGGATCCTGAAACAAATAAAAATATTACGAGGTAAGACATTTAAAGCTCCCCCCTCCCCTTTGTTTGGCATTTAGAAGGACGTTAGAATTCTGAGTGTTGGTATTCAGGACAGTAAATTGGAATTCAGGCCAAAACAAACTGAGCTCTTTTTTCTCTAAACACTTCATAGTAAGTAATTCTGTGCAAGTGATACACCTAAATCTCCTGCATTTTATTCTTGGGCAAAGTTTGTTATCAAATAATTTTGAGAAATTAAATGGGAATTTGGGCTGACCTTCTCTACTGAACTAAATGATTTATTTCTTTGTATGCTAGTGTGAGTACATGTATTAGTGTATGTGTGTGAATATATAAGTAGTGTGTTTATATATAAGTGCATGTATGTATGTGTAAGTGCATATGTATGTAGATGTAAGTAGTGTATGTGAGTGTATGTGCATGTGTATCAGTAGTATGTGGATTTAAGTGCATGTGTGTATAAATGCGTGTGTGTATAAGTGTGTGTGCGTATGTATAAATGCATGTGTGGATGTGTATATGTATGATCTACATGCGTGTGTGTGGGATATTTGTGTGTAGTGTGTGTATGTGCATGTAGTGTGGTGTGTATTTAAAGATGAAGAGCTTAACAAAGTGTGCTTTGTTCTTACCCATGAGTTGTCAAGTAAGTCTGGAGAGCTTATGTCTTCTTGCTTTTTATTTCTTATAAGGCAGATGGAATATTTTTGAAACTGAATTTGTTGGCATGTTGCTGGAAACAGTAACAAACAATTGCATGTAGTTTCCCTTGAATTCCTTTCCATTCAGTTAGCTCAGTTCATAATATTATTTGTTGATTCTAACATGTGTCATGGATGCCTGCAGGCCCAGTTGGGAGGGCAAAGGCTCAGTTAGTTGAAAAGCTGGTGTGCACACTATCATGCCTGCCCTGTTTGTGTAGGTGTGGCATGGTCAGAGGCACCGCGACCCAATGAATTCAAGGCTTGCACAAGCTTGCAACCCATAGAAGGAGAAGAAAACATTGATTTCCTTCAGTACCTGGGTGGTTCAGGGAGGTAACCTGAGGTAGTCAGTGCGAGCAGGGAATCCAAAAATCCTATATTCGAATTCTGGCTCTATCACTTGCTGACTATCTCCCTGTGCCTCAATTTACTCATTTACAAAAGAGGGATCATAAGATTCTCATGCCGGGCACATAGTAGATACAAGTAATTGTTGCAACAATAAAGATTCAGGTGAATTATATTTTCATCATAATTTAGTGTTCAAATATTTAATTTCCACTTGCCAAGAAAAATCCATGTTCCTTTTCTAATTTTTATTAAAAATAATATTTCCAGGCCGAGCACAGTGGCTCAAGCCTGTAATCCAAGCACTTTGGGAGGCCGAGGCGGGTGGATCACGAGGTCAGGG
The DNA here is from genome assembly GCF_000001405.40 of Homo sapiens. Lineage (NCBI taxonomy): Eukaryota > Metazoa > Chordata > Mammalia > Primates > Hominidae > Homo > Homo sapiens. The sequence continues at coordinate 77,605,799 of NC_000013.11, forward strand.
GATCGAGACCATCCTGGCTAACACAGCGAAACCCTGTCTCTATTAAAAATACAAAAAGTTAGCTGGGCGTCCCAACTACTCGGGAGGCTGAGGCAGGAGAATTGCTTGAACCTGGGAGGCAGAGGTTGCAGTGAGCCGAGATGGTGCCACCACCACTCCAGCCTGGGCGACAGAGTGAGACTCTGTCTGAAAAAATAATAATATTTCCAATCAGGACTTATTTTTCTTCATATGTTGGTGTGTGTATATGTGGGCATGCCTATGCTTATGTGTGTATGCATGCATACAAATGTTTTTGTGCATGTGTGCATTCATGTGCATGTCTACATGTATGTGTCTATATGCATATGTAATTTCCCATGTACATGAGTGTGTGCATTGCATGTGTGTACGTTGTGCATGTGTGATTGCATATGTATGCACAATGCTTGTGTTTTCATGAGCATATGTGTAAATATACACATGTGCTTTTTTGTGTATATGGGTGCATATGTACATGGATGTGTATGTACCTGTGTGTGTGAGCGTATGCGTAGTCCTTATGGACTCTATGAACTATGAGATTTAAATAACCTTATTTTATTATGTGCTTTATTTAAAATTTAAAGAGATCAAGTCCTAAAAATATAGTTAAAGCAAACCCCACAACCAACACAAAGGGAGGGTTGTAATGCTTACCGTTTTGTTATTTTTTTGAATACACAAGTCTGGAAATAGCATCCTGGGAATTTTATTTTTCTCAGTCACTGGCCTTCAAATCCCACATACTTCATTTAGGCAGAAATCAACAAGGAGTAATCTGGAGTAGAGTGATTGCTTCTGTGGGGCTAATTGTTTCATTATTTGCATAACAAAGGTTCAAAGTAATTATTGCTACTTTGAGTCTGTATATCACATTCTCAGACATCTGGATACAAATAAAAGACTTGAATCAGCATCTAGTTGCTTCCAAATATCTGTATCTTTGATGTTGTATAGACAAAACCTTGGGGCTTTTGGACATGGCCTTAATAGGGTCACAGAGTATGGAGACGCAGTGCAAAAGGGCCTTCCTGTGGATGTTCTTTTCCCTATGTGGCATCCTCTGTAGATCAGAGCAGCATTTACTGCTGCTACTGGTATGCAGAAAACACATGTAGATGCAGGGAGAAAAGCAAAATTCCACTAAGATCAGAAACCGAGGTATACTAAAGAGTAACAAGAAACTACTAAAATGTTTTCGATGACTGTGTGGAACTTTATTTTATTTTATTTATTTCTGAGACAGGGTCTTGCTGTGTCCCAGGCTGGAGTGCAGTGGTGCAATCACAGCTCACTGCAGCCTCAAAAGCCTGGGCTCATGGGGATCTTCTCACCTCAGCCACATGAGCCACATGAGTAGCTGGAGCCACAGGTGTGCACCACCATTCCAGGCTAATTAAAAAAAAAAGATTATGGAGACAGGATCTTGCTATGTTGCCCAGTCTGGCCTGGATCTCCTGGGCTCAAGCGATCCTCCCACCTTGGCCTTCCAAAATGCTGGGATTGCAGGAATGAGCCACCATGCCCAGCCAGAGTGTTGCGCTTTATATTACACTTGATATTACTGTAAGATATTACAGTTGATATATCTTACATTTCAGAATGTTTCAGAACTCTGTAGATTTTAATATTCCTATTGTTTGTTGCCAAAAACAACTAGTCAAAATTCATAATTCTAACACACAGTTATAAGTACCAGAAGCAATTACTGGGTTGCATATCATAGATTTTTAACAAATTGGTGTATTAATCTTAATACAGTTTTGTGATAGAAAAATCTGCTAATGAATGCCAATTTTACAAAATATGGATTCTCCAAAGCTGGTTTTAAAGTTCTACATGTTGGAGGTTGATAAAGAGTATGCCTTCTGGAATGCTTCATGAAACAAGTATATAGACTAAGTTACAAAAATGTTTTGTGCACCTGGTAAAAGCTAAAATTATAGCATTTAGTGCATAAAAGTAGAGAGAATCCTAGTGCAATACTTGCTAGCGGCCAAATGGCTCTGAGACTAAAATAATGTCTCCCTGAGTCTCAATGAATTTCAGAGATGTACAAATCCCTACATATTTCTGCATAGTCACCTTTCACAATCTTCAGTCTTCAACTCCTTGGCATGATCTCAATGAGTGTTTACACTGCTTCTGAGTTTTAATGAAATAGCTTTATCTTCTTGTTGTCAGTCTACCATTGTTACGTGTTGTCAATCTTAACCATTTCTTCAATGTTTTAAAGGGGCCAGAGCCTTGATAATCTCATCAAAGTGACCCCTGAAGTAAAGAGAAGTAACCAAGGGTGAGGACTATGTCTTACCTCTCTTCCTTCCCCTTCCCCATCCATTTGTGGCACTCAGGAAAGAAGATGTGTTGAAAAACCTTTGGATTGGGATCAGAAAGGCTGAACCCCATTACTTACCAGCTTGGTGTCTTTGAACAAGTCCCTTGAATGCTGAGCTTCAGCCTCCTTAGTTATAAACTGAGGATCATAATGTTTGTTTGGCCGGGTACGGTGGCTCACGCCTGTAATCCCAGCACTTTGGGAGGCCAAGGTGGGCGGATTACTTGAGGTCAGGAGTTCAAGTCCAGCCTGTCCAACATAGTGAAACCGTGTCTCTATAAAAAATACAAAAATTAGCCAGGCATGGTGGAGTGCACCTATAGTCCCAGCTACTTGGGAGGCTGCGACAGGAGAATCGTTTGAACCCAGGAGGTGGAAGTTACAATGAGCCAAGATCCAGCCACTGCACTCCAGCCTGGACGACAGAGCCAAACACCATGCCAAAATAATAATAATATTTGTTTTTTGTCACTTGATAGTTGTTAGGAATGAATGAAATAATGGGTATAAAATCCATTTTTTAAAAAAGGATATTACAAATGGAAATTATTAACAAAACAGTTTAGTTATAGCTATAGCATTAGATGGAATGCTTAGGGGAACCAGGTGAGAATTTTTAGCAGATTATTATGTCACTCATTAACTGATTTTTTTTAATGGCGTCTTGCTCTAATTATATGGTTTTATTTTGGGGGTAAATGAGAAACTACGTCAGTGTACCAGTGATTGGTAAGAAGGTCACAAATTTTAGTCTTTTAAATTAAGAGCATAGACTGGTATCAATTTATCTCAAAACTCAGTAGTAAAATTTATCTTGAGTACATGTATCCTTTAAATCAAAACAGTCAATTGATTTAATTCCATTTTTATTTATGATGTTTTTTGTTTTTTTGTTTGAAGTTCCAAAGACCTTAATAACTTCATCAAAGTGTATCCAGGAACAGAAAAAAGTACTGAAGGGTAAGATTTAATAAGCTCCCTTTTTTGTTTCATAGTAACCAATGCCTAAAAGTATAATTAAAGCATCATTTCAGCTGACTGATGCTGAACCCAATGATCCTTCAAGAAAAGCCATGTAACCCTGCTACCTCACATCTGAAATGTTAAAAATTTTGGTCAACCAATTTCTGATACAATGAGACAATTACTCTTTGACTAATCAGGAATAAAGTTGTTTTCCCAGGATGGACTGGACATTTTTATTCATTGATTTATTATTTTTCTTAAGCAGAAGGGATGGATGACACAGTAGAGGGGAAAGAGAACTAGACCGGACCCCATAGTTGTGGGTCTAGGCCTGTCTCTGCTCCTCTTACCTGTGTGTGCTCAAACTAGTCACTTCTGTTTGGGCTTCAGTTTCTCATCCTCAAAGTGAGGAAATTGCACGAGGAGCTCTCCCAACACTCCCAAATCTAATTCAGTTACTAAGTTCCAATAGATATTTGGTGTCATGGTAAGGCACAGGCATTCTGCAGCCAGATTACCTAGCTTTAAATCCCACCTCTGTTACCACTAGCCATGTGGGAAAATTACTTAAGGTTTCTGTGTCTCAGTTATTCCCTCTATGAAACTGGAATAATAATACTTCCTATGTCATAGGATTGATGTGAGTATTAAATTAGACAAATCATGTAAATCACTAAGAAGAGTGCCTGGCCTGGGACATCAAACATTTTCTAGAAGTTCTTATTCATTATTTCTCTCCAGTTTTAGTTAGGTCCCTATATGTATATTCACAGTCAACACTGAAAACCCCCAGCCCTCTGAGATGATCTCTAATTTTATTATTTTAATAAATATTTTATAATAAAAGTATTTCTCTGTTTTAACAAACACTTGAAACCATTCGATTTAAATCTACCACTGATCTGATTTTCTATGTTTTTAAGGGGCCAAAGTCTCGACAGCCTCATTAAAGTGACTCCTGAAAGAAACAGAACTAACCAAGGGTAAGGTTTATGGAACTCTCTATTTCTCCCCCCTTTTTTTTTCCTAATGAGCTTAAAAACATGACAAATTGTGCGGTGGCTTACGCCTGTAATCCCAACAGTTTAGGAGGCCGAGGCGGGAGGATCACAAGGTCAGGAGATGGAGACCATCCTGGCTAACATGGTGAAACCCTGTCTCTACTAAAAATACAAAAATTTAGCTGGGCGTGGTGGTGGGTGCCTGTAGTCTCAGCTACTCGGGAGGCTGAGGCAGGAGAATGACATGAACCCAGGAGGTGGAGGTTGCAGTGAGCCGAGATGGCACCACTGCACTCCAGCCTGGGCAACAGAGCAAGACTCCGTCAAAAAAAAAAAAAAAAAAAGATAAATTGCATTGTCCCGCCATAGAGACAACCAATGATGGGACCCAAATCAACAGATCCTGTGTCAGAAATCTAGTGTTCAAGCACTTACCGAAGGCTCTCTGGCCACAGGAGAGAGAATTCCTTGAAAGACAGGAATGATCTCTTACCAGTATGAGATTGTGTTCCATGCTGAGGATTTCCTTAAAAATTAATGGGGATTCCCCATGAGACAAAACATCACCCCAAACAATTTCCCTGATCTAAGTAGCCTAAAGAAAGGTCTTCATATGATAAAAAATTCTTCCTCCTTCTTCTTCCATCATGTATTACCTCTCTTCTTATTGTCTACCACCCAAACAACTCTTAAAGTTGGGAAGTCATTTAAAAAATTATTCTCAGTTCATTGAAAAAAGAATGACATTTGTCTTTTATATAGAAAGAATCTTCTCTAAGACATATCATGTTAAGTAAATAAACAGGCATAACAAAACCACCAGCTTGTAAATGTATATTGTTATATGAATTTGAACATGAGTTAGATGTAAAAGATACCAAGATATATATCTTCTCTCAGCAGATTTCCTATCTTATTTTGCATATTGGAATACAGTCTATTTTACAGTATGTGGCTATCAAACAGAGCTTATTTAGACTAGATCAGAGGTCAGCAACTTTTTCTTAATGGGCTAATAGTAAATAGTTCTGGTTTCAGGGACAAAATTGTCTCTGTTTTTAACTAGTCATCTCTGCCAATAGTGTGAAAGCAGCCATAAGTACCTTGTGAACAAATGGGCATGGCTGCGTTTCAATAAAACTTTATTTACAAAAGCAGGCTGCAAGTTGGATTTAGCTTGAGGGCCATAGTTTGCTGACCCCTAGACTACACAGTATTTTATTTGAGTGTGTGAAGAGAATCAAATCTGACTGTAGTTGAAGTGGATTCTGAAATACAGCCTACCACCCCCCTGATTTGGCATATATTAATACAACTTTATTTTTACTGTTGAGGGTCAGACACTAAATCCAGAGACCATATAATTACATTACACATTAAGATTCAGTGAAAGACAGTTGCCTTTTCCCTCTCCCGAGATGACTTAGTTTCTAAAGGTGAAGATGGCCTGATTATTCATGGCCTTTCCTTTATAATGTTTGAGGCTGTATTTTGGTAGCCACATGCTGCCATGTATTGCATTTGGTTGTGTGTTTATTTCTTTTACTTGGTAGTGAGATTTTTTACTTCAGAGAACCTTTTGCTAGCTGTGTAGTCTTGGACAAATTGCTCAACCTCCTTTAAGCCTCAGCTTTTTTATATGTAAAATCAGGATTGTAAGAGTTAATTTCTTCCTGAGTTTCTAGAAAAATTAAATATGATCATGCTCGTGAAACACTTAGTGTTCAAGTGCTTATTAGACATTATCTGTTAGTATTATTATTACTCTTAAAATTTTTTCTTCATTGTTAAATCCCCATAGCACTACTCAATGTGAAGAAGATAGCAAATAAATTTTCCTGGGATGTTGAATCTTATGAAATTACTGACATTCAATTATTTTTGACCAACAAAATGGCAATTTTAAACAGTTCAATGTAATAGAATATAGTAATTTACATGGAAGGATACACACATGATAAAATGAACCTATAGATTAGTCCTAAAGATTAGTTAAAAGTCTTTCCAATTATTTTCTCTCCAGGATATATAACATATCATCCAATAATAAAGTGTAACAAATTAGGTTTCCTATTCAGGTCTTTTGGTGTTAGGGTTGGTATCATTACTGTGATAACAGCAGCATCTCTGTAGAGCTATGAATGCCTATGTGAGTGTTTACAATAAAAACATAAATTCTATAAACTGAGGCCTTGCTTGTGCTAATTCAGCTTTGCACGAAGTGTGATTCTGAACTGATTTAATATCTTGGGGTAGTGTGAATATTACATATTTATATTGTATATATTACCTGCATAACTTAGAATCAGAAAATAACTGCTTTTTTCTTTTCTTTTTTTTTTTTTTTTTTTTTTTTTTTTTACAAATTATCTCAGTTTTTGTTTGTTTTGGAAGAAGGGGAGCAAGGAACATATGGAAATAATGAATAATTTTATATTTTCTCTCGTGCATTGTAACCTCCAGAAAATATTATAAATGGTTTAATTCTGCCACACAGATAAAGTATGTAAAATAAAGAGTTTAGGAATAATTCTGCTTTGAGGTTAACGTGAAAGAAACAAAAATAAAACTAAATTAAATTATCATATATACAAATGTATGCAGGAAATGAATTGATAGTAGCCACCTGTTTTTACATAAGGCTAAAAGTTTAAGTATAGATGAAGTTTTAAATTAGCAGGTCATTTGATTAATATTAAGGTTGAAAAAATATACAAATTATTGGATTTTAGTTGACTTAGCTATTGAAACTTAACATTTTTTTAGGAACCAAGACTTGGAAAATCTTATCAAAGTGATCCCTTCAGCAAACAAAAGGTAAACTTATTAAGATAATTGAAGACTTCTTAGCAAGTCACCAATTTATGCCCCAAAATAAGATTAATTATTTAACTAAAGACATTTTGAAAGGGGACATGAAAAAAAATGAGAACAAGTTGATGTGTAATAATGCTGGATAGATTTTTCTGTCTATTATTGCTTTCATTAATTTCATTATATTATTGTAGAAAATTATAATATTGAAGCTAATTCTGTGTAATTACTACTTTAGAAATTCCTTTGACACAGTAACAGCATAACTAGATTATAACCATAAGTTCATAGTTAATAAATTACAAGTTCATAAAACTGAACAAATCAGTAAATATTGGCTTTCTGTTCTCTCACAAACACAGGGATTAATATTTAAATGACTTGTGAAAAAACTGACAACATAATATTCTTATACTTGATTAGAATATTTTTTGCATGACATTGAATTTACTTCTGTTCTTGAGAAATTAAGATCCATTATACACTGGACAAAAGTTAATAAAAGCATGGCAGAGAAACCCCAAGCTATCACTCATTGAATTATTGTGAAGATAATGTTGGTGAAAAGCATTGTGTGGATGTAAGGGATTGTTATGAACATGAGACAGAGGGAGGGTGTTGGGGAAAGGAGTGTGGAGTTTGGGGTCCAGTTGCTGTGGTTGGAATTTTGGTTCACCCTCAGTCACTTAGGTATCTGGCCCCAGGGAGTGCCTTAATCCCTCTGAAATGCAATATCTTTGTTTATAAAGGCTGTGGGGGTGGGGGCGGTGGTATTAATATTGATGTCATTGAGTTGTTGTGAGGATTAAAAAAATGGTAACTAATATATATAAATTGGAAACTCAGTAAACTTATGAGTTCTTACACTAGGATTCTATTGAATGACTTGCACCTGTCAAAACAAAAAAGAAATGCCAGTATGAAATTTGCCGATTTCCTCTAATTTTGTTTTAGCAGTGAACAAGGTCTTGATGAACATATTAATGTCAGCCCCAAAGCTGTCAAAAACACTGATGGGTAAGAGATGGATGTGATTTTTGTTGTGTTTCTCGTTAAGTAAACCCAAAATTAATAGAAATGATTTAGAATTATTCTATGGGCAAATTGAATATAAATCTCAAAATATCATCACAGGTGGAAACCTAGATGTCTCAGTATTTGTTAATTGCAAGAAAGAGAGGCAGCTGGAAACAATGTATGGCGGTGCTTTCTCTTCTCTAAGCCTCCAGTAAAGGAATTGAGCAGAGCGATTGGACAAATGGGCAGGAAGGAGCATAGGTAGTCTAGGAGCTGCTGCTGTTTTGTTTTGTGTGGTATTGAAATTAATACTTTTGTCTTTGAAATTGATGATAATTTATTAATGGTAGTTAATTTTTAAAAAAAGACCTAGACACTTCCATTAGACTAATCATTAGCAGTATCATTCACCTCATTTTAGAAGAGTTTTCTGGTAGTCAGTGGAAATTTTATGAGGTTCATTATTCTTTAGAGATTTACTGTGCTCAGCAAGGTTATGGACCTAAAGTTTAATAATTCTTGAAGTAATGTCAGTGAGATAATGAAACTCACTTTTTGTCTATGGTTAAATGAAGACAATATCATTACACATTACTGTTTTATATATAAATATATCTTAAGAATGGTTTTACGATTTCCCCTTTTAAGTTTTGTTGGTACGTATACAAATTGTAAAATTTTAGAGATGGAGGGAATGAACCTTAAGATATCTTGGCCCAGTAGTTTGAATAATTTTGAAAACCAATGTTCCAGATGAATCTATTTATTTTGCAGAAGAGGAAATTAAGACTCAGAAAGGTTAAGTGATTTGACCAGGGCCACAGAAAAAATTAGTGGAAGACTGATAGTAGTTCTATGATCTCTTAGGCAGTGAATAATTACTGAGCACCTACTGGGTTCACAGCTTACAACTAGGTATCATTACTTGTACATTAGGTATAATTATAGGTTGTGGAAGCCAAAAAGAGAATTCAGTAGACATAGTCAATCTTATTAACAGCAGGCAATTAACATAGATTAAAGCTAATTATGTACCAGGGGCACAGAGATGTTACACCAAGACAATAATAGGTTGTCAGTTTAATATATTACATTTTGGAGCACTCATGTACTGCTTGCTGAATATAGAATATATTGTCCATGAGTTGCATTCTTAAAAAGGAGACATATTGAAGAGCTAATTAATAAACACAGAGGCAGTAAAATTCATATTCATGGAGTCCTAGGAGGAGATGTTTGGAGATGGACAGAGCCTTGGAGATTATCCAATTCAATCTCCTCATTTACAGATGAGAATACTGAGACCAGGGGCAAAAATCTCACAGTCATCTGTGAGATCTTCTAACTCCCAGCCCAACTCCTAGTCTTTACATCACAGCACACAGACTTTGATCTTAAAATATATAAAAATTAATTAAGCGCCTTGGAAAATAGCAAAGGCTGTAAAGATAGGAGTGTTGCTCTTGCTGTGGGATGGCCAGGACGTGTTTTTTACTGTTCTCACAGGGTTACTTGAAAGAATACTTCATAGATTACAATGGCACAAATGTGCAAATGATTGCAAAACACTTTACAGCTTTTAAACTGCATGAAAGTAATAATAACCTAAATATCCTAATGTATCCTTTACTACATTCTTAAAGCTAAATAAATAAAAACAGTAACTTGAGAGAAAAAATGTTACATTTTCCTGGATAAAATTTAGACATGCATGTTTTGCAGGATCTAGGGCCTGAAAAAAATCTACATATTTGTTGTTTTCAAAAATTGCATGATGCTATCAATCAAGGCAATTCAGGACTGTTCCTGAGATTTTTGTTTTATTAACACATGGTGTTGCCTTTATAGGAGTGGTGGTAGAATATAGCATATATTTATGTTTTCTAAGCTAATGTTTCTCAAATGTGGGTTGCAACTCATTAAAGGGTCTTGTCATTAATTTAGTGAATGGCAATCAGCATTTTTTCTTAAATTAATAGAATGAACTGAATAGAAAATATGAGAGTTCTTAGGTAGTAAGAATATTATTTCATAAAATTTATGTCTCTCTGTGTGTGTGTGTGTGTGTGTGTGTGTGTGTGTGTGTGTGTGGCTGTCTGTAAAAGACAGTATTAGGCTGTGATGTAAAATGTATTTCTTATTGGGCTTTATGTAACAGTGGTTAGAATATCATTGTTCTAGATTATTAGGTAAATTAAATTTTTGTGCTCAGTAGGACAGTGAAAATGGAAGTTCTAGTGGATTTTTTTTATGTTACTTACTCTTAATTATGCTGACACATAAATATTATCTGTGGTTACACTAACCAATATTGTGATTAATTTTATATTTTTTTAAAAGTGTGGCTTTTGAGCATACTGTCCACTCTACAAAGTTTTATTCTTTGTATTTTATAATAATATGTGAAATTAACCTCATTTTAAAGACTGTTGTCTTTCTGACACAGTTTAGTTTTATGACAGATTTTGCCATCAATTTACATAAGGAGATTATGTTGTGGATAGTTTTAATATATCAATCATTCTTTTAATAGTATTTATAGATATCAATTTATTATGTTCAATTGAAAATATTATCATAGAAGAAAGCTCAAAACAGTGAAAATTCAGTTAGAGCCTTTCCATAGACTATGGAGAGGTGAGAACCATGAAGAATAAATCAAACTAAATGAAGCCCTGAACATTCTATTGAAAGGTTGAAGGCTGGGGAAGAAAATGCAGACCTTTTCTCAGACCTTCTGATGATTCATCTCTAAATGACGCTCTTTTGGTCCCTAAACTTGCATCCTTTTTTTTTTTTTTTTTGAGGAATAAAATGTATTTTATTTTTATATAAGGAAAAAGCATTGTTGTGGTGAGAGGTACATCTAGATTGTTTCCCAGATGGTACTGGAAGCAGGTTTTGTCAGTTCTGCAGTCTCTTGCCATGGCAACTGCCATGTATTTCTCTGAATAAGTATGAAAATCAGTTCAGAAGAACACTTTGAAAAATCACTACTTTCCCACCCTTAAAACAAGGGGTTATGCTGAGGCAGTGAATTATAGCAAACTATATAAGAGGAAACACTGTTCTGTGGCTGAGAAGAGAAACAGGAAGAGTTTCAAATGGGAGCGGACAGTTTTCAGAGTATGTAACTCATTTTACTATGAACAGCTGAGTTTAATTCAGTTTTTCAGCCATCAAAGAGGGAAGAAAAGTCACAATTTTGATGGATTGCTGGACCTGTCTTTGCTAAGCTTTATATGAAGAATAATCCTCAATTTAGAGTTTATCTTTTAAAAAAGTGATGTCCTTAGTTGGTGAACCTGATTTTAAAAATAAGGATATTAAAATCAGCTGGTATCTTCATAATGTTAATACATTCAAGAATGAACAATTGTCAGTTATCAGATGTTTGCTATGGTGACTTAACCAGCCTGCCCTTGTAGATAGGCTCTGACAAGAAAATGTATGAAATTAGAGTAAGTTTTCTTCTGATAAAGCATAATTCTTCATCCCCTAAATTGGTTAGAAAACGTATTTCATAGTTAGTCAATACTAAAATAATATGTCTCATACTATTATCCTTTCTATCCATTTCCAATTACCTTAAACCTGTGATTATCTCTAACCCAAGTTGCTTTAATATTTTTTCCACTTAAAGAAAACAAGATCTTGATAAACTCATCAAGGTGAATCCTGAAATTTTCACAAACAACCAAAGGTAATAAAACTATGTTGTTTTAATGTACTTGGGTCAGAAAGAATATTAAGTTTTATTATTACTTCAAGCAGATTTATAACCTTAATGATATTACCAAAAGAACTTCAAAATTAACCTGCTCTCATTTTATTTTTTGATTTAAAGAAACCAAGATCTTGCTAACCTCATCAAAGTAAATCCTGCAGTAATCAGAAACAATCAGAGGTATATATAGAAGCAGTCAATTCATGTTTTTATTTGTCTGTTGCCCTGGATGAAGTGGATTTATAATGTTGCTTTATTGACCTAGCACAACCCCAAAATCTATTACCAATCTGAACTTTTTTCTCTCTCTCTTTTAAACAGCCAAGACTTGGACAATCTTATTAAAGTGAAACCTTCAGCTCTTAGAAACACTAATCGGTAAATGACCTTGACTATCTTGACATGTTTACAAGTTTCTAGGGTAGGAACTTCTCCCTCCCTCCTTGCCTCCCTGCCTCCCTCCCTTCCTCCCTTACTCCTTTCCTCCCTTCCTCCCTTTTTTCTTTCTTTCCTTCCTTCCTTCCATTTCATTCTATCACCCAGGCTGGGGCACAGTAGCACAATCATAGCTCACTGCAGACTCAAAATCCTGGGTTCAGGTGGTCCTCCTGCCTCAGCCTCCTGAGTAACTGGGACTACAGGTGTGCACCATCATGCCCAGCAAATTTTTTAAAATTTTTTTTAGAGATGGGGTCTTACTAGTTGCCCAGGGTGGTCTCAAATTTCTGGGCTCAGGCAGTCCTCCTGCCTCAGCCTCCTAAATTGCTGGGATTACAGGCATGAACCACTCCTTCCTATCCTTTTTTTCTTTTCTTCTTTTCTCCTTTCTTCCTTCCTGCCTTTCTTTTGAAGGCTTTTAGTTTTCTTTGGTGTGTTAAATGAGGCTACATTTATGACCCATCCCATGTGACTCCTGTCAACAAGGAAACAAGGAAACATACTGCACTCTTCTGAAATCAATCGCACTATTTTGAAATTAGTTCTGGGCTTCTTATTTGCACTAAAACAACTTAGTGCTTGTTGTCTACAGAAAATAGAGTTTTAGGACTGAAATGAAAGACATGAATACAATTAAATAAGGAAAAAAGATATTTTGAAGAAGTTGAACCAAACTAATGGTTTATGTGGATGTCTGTAAAACATTAGAATGCATGTCTGTAGAACATTGGAAAGAATATTCATGATCTTCAAAATCCTAGATCCACAGCTAGTGTGGGCCCACAAAATATTACCAATTTTAACCATAAGCTTCCATTTTACACTCTTAAGATATCTTATAATTTGCTATTTGATATCTTTCACATAAACTGCTTTATTAATGGATAATAAGTAATAGATAATGCAAAAGAGTGCACTGTATCAGAAGTCCAAATTGCTCTGCTGACCTGAAATTGTGTCATAATAAATACATTGCTGGAAATAGTAGTCCAGTATTCTGAAAGGACAAAAAGAAATTAACATATGACAAAGTACTTTGAACCCATTAGGAGAAAGAGGAAAGTATAATCCATGATTGGCCTAACTCTTACATCTCCTAGCTTGTTTTCTATCTGAGTATCATATTTTCTTCTTGCTGTTTTGTTACTTCTTCAGCACCCAGGATGTGACTGGCAATTCATGTACATTTAATCTTCACAACAATCCCATGAGAAATCTATTCATGCACCCTATTTTGTAGAAGAAGAAACTATAGTTCAAAGGTACTAAATAACCTTTTCAAGAAAGAAAGTACACCCTGGACTTAAACTCAGGGACTTCTGATGTCATTACCTAGAGGAAAAACAAAGGATCTGTGGTTAAATCAGCTCAGACTCTCTTCTTCTTTCCATTCTTCATATTCCCTATGCTCCTCTTCTGCTCATACACAGTTAAAGGAGTATGATCAGATGTATTTATTCTGGAGGATTATTGTTAAAATGACAGTGAGGAAAGAAAACACTTGCTGCATGCGGATTTTCTAAAAGCTGAAATAACAGTGGACCCTCCTGCTGAGAATCGTACGGAAATATCTTTGTTAAGTAGAGCCCTTTCTTTATAGTGGCATTTGTTGGGTGGATTTTTCTTTTTATCAGTAACAGTTTTAGGAAGTTTCCAATCATGTTGAAAGTGGTTAGGTTCAATAACCATGTTATGTAATAACTGACAGTGAAAAATGTAGTCTCTCACTTTCTCTCCCACATCCCCTTCCCAACCCCTTTCCTCCCTCAGTCCCTCTGACAATTGTGCTTTGTTGACAATGGTAACTTTCTCAGAAGAGTTTTTTGCCTTTTGTTTTATTAGAAGAGGCCAATTTGGTAGAAAGTTAGTTTGTATTTCAGCAACTCCTAATGAAATATCCGTAGAAAGACGACATTTTCCGTATACAGATATGATTACTATAAAAAAATTTAAAAATATTGGCTATCGTGTGGTTTTAAGATGGCGGCTTGATTCACAAATCTAACCTAACCTATGTCTAATTATTCTTTAGTAGTATGCCAGATTTGATGAGAATCCACTGGGATGTTCAAGAATTATCACAAAGCAGACAAACAGGAAAGACTGAACCATCTATTTGAAAAAAGTGACTTCATTCAATTGGTTCAGCCACCCGTATCTGTAATCTCTCCATTCTGCCCTCTTGATTTTAATGCAGCTATAAAGGAGAGTATTTTAAAAGTGCCTCCCAGTAGGAAGAACAGTCACAAGGCACTGTTATATCAATTCAGTGTGACACAAGCCCTGATTATTTAATAGTATAACAGCAGTGAATCAGAGTTCTTTCATCTGACTTTGCTGACATTTCCAGCAGCTGTATATTTAATTCACAGTTAGGGGCTGAACAAACTACAGCCATTGATCAGAATGTAAGCAGGCATCCTTGAGCTTCTTCTAGGAACAAATACAGATGTGCACAAAATTTTCATTTATTCAGTAAGAATTTGCATGACTTGTAGCAGTAACAGTTTCACATTTTCATCAACCAGTGTCAAAGAGAGATATTCAGTTATTGGTAGCCTATAAACTGTGTTAGACTGATTATTAAAATGCTACATTTCTGCTCCTGAATGAATATTGAAAAGCATCTAGTGACACCAAGGCCTTTATAGTTAGAAAAGGCATCTTTCATCTAAAGTAGAAAAAAAAATACTCTTAACTGTTTGTGGCATTATACTTCCATCTTCTTAAGGATTTCCTATTTGTTAAGACATCCCCAAGTTTTTAGTATTCCAAAAAGAGAAGAGTTCCTTCCTAACTATCTATTGCATATTTTTCATATTTCTGTTAACATAAACTTGGGGACAACCTTGACGCTTTCTGGTGTTTCATTCCCCATAATCAATCAATCAGTCACTTTGGATGCATCACCTAATAATCTCAGGGAGTGGTCCAAGACAGTTCATCATACCCACTGGTACTGTAGTCCAGATTATTGTTCAGCCTCCTAACTTGCCCCTCTGCTGCCAATCTCCCCTTCTGCCCTTCAATCCATTCGCCACCCTGTAGAGTGATTTTCCCAAGACACAAATCTGATCATGTCATTCTGATTAAACTCCTTCTGTGGCTCCCCATTGCCATTGCATAATGGCCATGCTCCTCCTTAACCTGGTCTCTAAGCCCACCACGATCTGGCATCTATGGGCTTTCCCACTCCCGTCTATTATCGTTCTCCACCCAAAAGCAAACCCCACCCACACACCCTCTAACTTGCATACTCCTCACTCCTCCTTCATCGCGATTGCTTGGCTAACTTCTACTTATCCTTTAGGTATCAGCTTAGGTGTCTCTCACTCAGGCTCTGGGAAGCCCCCCTGACCCACCATGTGTGCATCAGATGCTTCTTCTAGATGTTCTCGAGCTGTCTTTTCTGGCCCATAACATTGGTCTCTTCGAGGGAGTTATTATTTAATCATCCCTTTTTGACTATAAGGTCTTTAAGGGTAACTACGGGGTCTGCCTTGTTTATTTATTTACCTGTAATGCATAATGCAATGCCTGGTACATGTTAGGTATTTAGCACATATTAAGGATAAATCTCAAACTCATCAATGCCTTATGATAGTCCACTTAGAGAAAGTCTAGCCTTCCAGCTGTGACATTCTGAGCCCCTATGAGTGAAACAAGATGAAAAGAATCAGATTTCTTATGACTGGTCTCCTTGCTTGAGCCAATGACTATCTTTTGCTCATGACATAATCTCAATAAACTATAGTGAATGGGAGCCACTGAAATTCTTGGTCGCATCTTATTTTTAAAATACCCAAATTGCCTAACTGCTCTGTGGACCTGTTAATTTCTTTAATACTAAATCTTTAAGACTCCCTCACTGAAAAGAATTATAAAAATATGTAAAACTCTAAAGAGTTGGGCCCATTTTGCTATGTTAATAAGTTGAGGAATTATACCACTTCTTTCACTGTATTCTCTATTCCTTTCAGAAAGACAGATATTCCTTTTGAACTAACGCCTAATGCCTAAGATTTAGTTCCTGGCGTAAAAGGAATACCATAGTAAATTTTTTATATGAAGACTCTTAATTTTGTAAATGTGTTTGATACTCTATAAAAACAATTTAAATGAACTGTATGGTGAGAAACATATTGCTGCCTATTAATAAATACCTCCCACACCCACATGAGAAAGGAAGAACAGTTAGGAGTGAGCTAATAAGTTTCTCATATGCAGAGCTTCTCCTAGGAAAAGTTATATAGTAAGAGACATAATTCCTGGGTCCCCAGAATCTCTATTTTTTTCCTTCACCTGCTTTGTAAGACAGTGTTATAGTTTTTGATGTGGTAGTAGAAAATAAATGACATTATTATAACATGGATAAATTCTTATACTCAAAAATTGTCCTGTGGCTTTAGCTCATAGATAACTCACATTTCTCCCCAAATATTCTGCAGTCTACATTTTAAAAACATTATTAGGCCAGGTACCTGTAATTCTGGTACTTTGGGAGGCTGAGGTGAGAGGATGGCTTGAGGCCAGGAGTTTGAGACCAGCCTGGTTAGCATGGTGAGTCCCTGTCTCTACAAAAATTAAAAAATTTAGCTGGGTGCGATGGCATGCACCGGTAGTCCCAGTTACTTGGGAAGCTAAGACGGGAAGATTGCTTGAGTCCAGGAGTTCGAGACTGCAGTGAGCTATGACAGCACCATTACACTCGAGCCTGGGAGACAGAGCTAGACCCCAGTCTCTAAAAAACAAACAAAAAACATTATTAGTTGCAATAGTCAGTAACAATTTGCTCTTCAATAATTTTCTGTAACTACAGAAAGTTGGTGATTTTCTTAGAATTAATTCCACCTGCCCATAAATGTATAAAATTGTAAGGTCTGCCTGCCTTCTACACCACCGCCATGAAAGGGGTTTGGAATCAAGCCTCTGCTTAACCCTGCAGCATTTGGCTGCATTTCTATAAAAATCTATTTTTCACAGTTGACTCACAGTTCTTCATCTTACACCACAGTGTAAAAGTCATTATGCAATTGATGTGGTCTTAATTAAAGAACAAAAATTTATTTTTATCTCCTTTAACTTGGAAAGCTTATGAGCAGTCTGTGCTTCTTTTACTGGATCTTCAAATGTAGCTGATGGCATCAATCAGAGTGAATAGCCAAAGTAAATACACACTTTGTACTTTTCTTCTTCTAGAACTTTCTATTTTGCATTAAATATTAGTGTAGATTATTCAGATTAAAATCTTGGCTGCTCTGAGTGCGGTGGTGTTTACTACTAACTACTCACACCAGTTATAGATTTCTTTGTTCCTTTTCCACTTCCATTGCTTCACTTGACTAGCCTTAAATAAATAAATAAATAAATATTACTCTACCAAACCTGATATGTGGTACTGTTTAATAAAATAAGAAAAATGTTATGAAACAAATAATAATATAGTTTATTTGGTGATTTGCAACTGTACCACTTTGGAAATGTGTTTCTTTGAAGGCACGCATAGGTTGCAATTTTGAGTTATCTATCTGTAGTTGTTGGATTTTTAAGATTCTGGCTTCTTCTCCTTTCTCAGATCCAAACCATTCTTTCTCCCCCTCATGAAAACTAAGGTACAAAGAGGTTGAGCGACAGGTGGGCAGTGTCTACAGCAGCCAGGATTATGCAGTATCTATAGCAGCCAGGAGTTGAAAGCCAGGAGGAGTTAAAGATGTCCACCATAAGGCTGAGAAAATATATGTAATCACGTTGTGAGGGTAGAAGCAGACCTGTATTTATTTGTTAGGGCTGCATAACAAACTACCACAGACTGGGTGGCTTAAAGACAAATATTTGTTGTTTCACAGTTCTGGAGGGCAGAAGTCCAAGATCAAGCTGTCAGCAGGGTTGGTTCCTTCCACGGAGTTGGTTCCTTCTGAGGCCAAAAGAGAAGTATCTGTGCCAGGCCTCTCTCCTTGGCTTGTGGAAAACTTGTCTTCACTTTTTTTTTTTTTTTTTTTTTTGAGATGGAGTCTCACCCTCTTGCCCAGGCTGGAGTGCAATGGTGGGATCTCGACTGACTGCAGCCTCCTCCTCCCCCAGTTCACACAATTCTCCTGCCTCAGCCTCCTGAGTAGCTGGGATTACAGGCACCTGCCACCACGCTCAGCTAATTTTTGTATTTTTAGTAGAGACGGGGTTTCACCATGTTGGTCAGGCTGGTCTGGAACTCCTGGCCTCGTGATCCACCCACCTCAGCCTCCCAGAGTGCTGGGATTACAGACGTGAACCACCGCGCCCAGCCAGAAAACTGTCTTCACTTTATGTCCTCACTTTGTCTTCCCTCTGTGTGTGTCTGAGTCCAAATTTCCTCCTACAGAGACACTGTTTGTAACTTGATTACCTCTGAGGACGCTTATCTCTAAATAAGTTCACATTCTGAGCTATTGGGGGTTAGGACTTCAACATATGAATTTGGGGGAGTACATAGTTCAACCCAGAACAAGCTCCAAAGGTAATTAAACAAAGCCAGGACTGAGAGCTGTGCAAAAAGGAAAGAAATATAATATATGCATTCAGGGGTGAAGTAAGGCAGGTCCTGGGTGATGGACAGAGATGGAGGTGAAATGTCCATAACTGGCTTTACTGGTCTTTTTTCCACATGGATATGGTGGACACTATGTCCCTAGATATAGACAGACCAGACAATCTTAAAGGTTAATGGTCTAGGCTAATACTTTCCCCCTGGGGTTCCTTTAATATCTTTTCTCAGAGCTGGATAAGGTTGTAAGAGGTTTCCCCAAAAAAGAAAAGATAATTTAAATTAATTCCACAAATATTTATGGAGCAGCTACTATGTGCAAGGCCATGTTAGGCCATAGTAATGTGACCCTACTCTCAAGTTGTAATGAAAGCCACCAGTTTCCCTATAAAACTAGCACTCAGTTCCTCTGGCATTAGCACTGGAAGGGGAATCACTTTGAGAAACAAAGTTCTAATTGCCCAAGAGTCACACCTCCTGATGATCTTCCACTATTTACCACTGCCCACCATCCCAGTTTGACATTCCTAAGAAATTGGATCATGGAATACCATGATATTCCCTTTAATTTTATTCCACTATCCCCAAATATTGAGTAAAGTATTACTTAAAACATTAAGGGGAAGATCTCTTAATGGCCAAGGTTGTTAAGATAGTTTAGTGACCCCTTATGCCAAGAAGATGGCTCTAGTAATTAGTGGAGACCTTCAAGGATTAGGCAAATCCCAAGACTCTAGTCACTATTTCTAAATTTGCAGGATTTATGCTGGGAGATTATCGTACTCAGTTCTTGCAGTTATGTAGAAGAATTCAGTTTTGAATTTTACATCATTTGGACTGCAGAGCCAATAATTTGATACTTCCGAGCTACTTCTGAAACCTAGTACTTTTTACCTGCATTAATTGGCATAGTTCCACTGTTACTCATTTAAAAAGTAATTTACCCTAATTTCTACAGTTTCAAAAGTATGCAGTTAGTGTTTTAAATGTGAGGCTTAAGTATGGCTAGGGAATGCTGCCGAATTTGCATATTTTACCAATTATTGTTGGCTTGGATGTTATGTAAAAAGAGTATTAAATCTCACCCCACATAAACATGAGAACATTTTATCATATTTTGCATCTTTATCAATATTTGTGAGTGAGAGTCTGTATACTGATTCCATGTATAATAACCTTATTTGAACCCACTATTTAGGACCACGAGAGGGGAGATTTTTAAAAAACAGTTAATTCCAAAGATGTGACAATTTAGGACAGAAATAAAAATGTGAAAGTGGCCTCTCAAAATGTGGAATCAATAGTGTCAACTGCAGGATCACAGCACTACTATTTTTTTATGCTTATTCAATTCACCCACAACTGTAGTCATTGTGTGTATTAGTCTGTTCTCATGCTGCCAATAAAGACATATCCAAGACTGGGTAATTTATAAATAAAAAGAGGTTTAATGGACTCACAGTTTTACGTGGCTGGGGAGTCTCACAATCATGGTGGAAGGTGAAGGAGGAGCAAAAGTATGTCTTATGTGGTGGCAGGCAAGAGAGCTTGTTTAGGAGAATTCCCATTTATAAAACCATCAGATCTCTTAGGACTTGTTCACTACCACAGGAATAGTGAGGGGACAACCACTCCCATGATTCAATTATCTACACCTGGCTCCACCCTTGACACATAGGGATTATTACAATTCAAGGTGACATTTGGGTGGGGACACAAACCATATCATTGTGCCATGAATTTTATTTACATTAACTTACTCATTCTCACCACAATTGTATGAGTTTGGACATTAGTGTCCTTCTTTACAAAATGATATGGTTTGGCTCTGTGTCCCCACCCAAATACTATCTCAAATTATAATCTCCACATCTCCACATGTCAAGGGAGGGACCTAGTGGGAGGTGATTGGATCATGGGGACAGTTTCCTCCATGCTGTTCTCATGAGAGCCAGTGAGTTTCCATGAGATCTGATAGTTTAAAAGTGTTTGGTGGTTCCCCCTGGCAGCCTTATGAAGTCTTATGAAGAACGTACTTGTTTCTCCTTCACCTTCTGCCATGATTGTAAGTTTCCTGGAGCCTCCCCAGCCATATGGAACTGTAAGTCAATTAAGCCTCTTTTCTTCATAAATTACCTAGTCTCAGGCAGTTCTCTATAGCAGTGTGGAAACAGACTAATAAGCAAAATAAAGTTTAGAATGGTTGACTAACTTGGTCACAGAAGTAAGGAAAAAACTGGGTCTCATTGTTTTGACTTCTAAACAGTGCTCCTACCCTATTAACAAAGACGTTTCCTAACTCATGACAAAAGAAAAAAAACAGAACTATCAATGTTATACCTAATATATAAATAACATACCAGAGGATCTTGTATCTCATGAAAGGGTGTCAAATCATTAATGCAGCCCAAGATATAAGAATCAAATTACTCCATTTCTTCCCCCACATAATGAATTATTTATTCAAATTTTGTGTTGATTTCCCTTGTTTCTGTGATCCCCAAAGCCTAAATAAGGTCTCTGGGTAAACATCTAAGAATTGATTTCAGGTGGGCAGATGGCATCATCTCAAATCTTGACTCTTCCAAAAATTAATTAATTGGCCTTGGAAAATTTACTTTGCCTGTCTGAGCTCCAGATGCTGTTCTGCAGGACTTTTGTGAGATCTGAATGAGATAATCCTTGTGAAAACACAGTACTTCATGACACAAAGATAGTACTCATTAAATGTTAGCTGAAAAGAAGTCGATTAATGGGTACAAATATACAGTTTGATAAAAGAAATAAGACCTAGTATTAGATCAGTAGGGTGACTATAGTTTACAATTATTGATTGTACATTTCCAAATAACTAGATGAGAAGACATTGAATAAGTCTAGCATAAAGAAAAGATAAACATTTAAGGTGATAGATAGCCCAAGTACACTAATTTGATCTTTACAAATTATATGAATGTATTAAATCACACATACCCTGAAACTTTGTACATCTATTATACATCAATAAAAAAAGAAAAATGAGCTGAATGTTAATAAAAATTAGTGATTTCTTTTCAGATCAGATTTCCCAAACCTTCCAAAAAGTTAGTTCTTTATTTCTCTTTCACAATGTAATCCATACTTCCATGTTTGATCCATGAGTTGTATGGATCAAATAGCTCAATGTCAGATATTCAATCTCCCATAGCCTGATAGACCACAAATGACTGTGTCTAAGATTATGTACTGATTTTAAAATGTTTTAGCATTTTCTTATTTCCTATCATTATGTTGTAATTATTCATATATATATATTTTTTTCCTTAGAGACCAGAACCTGGAAAATTTAATTGAAGTAAATTCTCATGTGTCTGAAAACAAGAATGGAAGGTAAAGCTTATTATAATTCACTTTTTTTCTTATGAGTTCTATATGCATCTGCATATATTGTATAGCCTTAGAAGATTATATATATAAAATATAATATTATATATTATGTAATATATAATTTGGATAGTGTGTATGTATATGTGTGTATATATATGTGTGTGTATATATATATATATATATATCATCCAAATACAAAAATTTACAAGGTGCTTAATAGCTAATAGGGAAAAATTAATATAATTCTTATTCTGTTAGAATTTCTGACTCAGGGCCTGCTGTTCTATTGCTTAGTGTAAATGGCATCATGGAAATTCAAAGCTCTTTGGGGCTGTGAAGATTTATTTTTACTTACTGTTGCTTGGTAAGCTCTCAGCAGTGCAGAAAGCACTCTGGGAATCTCTTCCTTGGATGCCTAGTGCTAAAAGAATGCATGAATTTATCACAGCCACAAAACAGGACCTAATTTTGAAATTTCTTTACACCATAGGGTATAATAGCTTTAAAACTGTGATACCTTATTGGCCATTACAAGAAAGGTTAGGACAGGAGCTATACTTCATTTTTGTCACAGACTGTATACTTCAGGAAAAATTAACTTTTCCATGTTTAGCAATTCTTACCCCTACATATGAGGGAATACTAAACACAATAGGTTACCATTTTCACCTTCATAGGTGCAGTTACCTTTTCTATTATTTTTTCTATGAAAAGAAATGATATTGTGATTTCATCTGCAGAGAATGGAAAAGCTAGGAAAAGAGCTGGCTCATTTTTCTTTTTCATACTGTCTCTAAAAGGTTCCTGAATCCGACAGGTAGATAGTTTCTTTCCATTCCTTTAGTTCCCCAAAACATCTTCTTCCTTCTGTTTGTGACCTTGAGAAAGTCTTTGAGAGAATGAGGGAGGATAAATTTTCAGTAGAATCTGCTTATCCTGGAAACACATGTACTATTTTGGGAATAGGACTGGGCTTACATTTAACTAATCTCATTCAAGTATTATTTGGAAGTGATTGGGGTAAAAAAAATTACAAGTAAATTATTACGTAAAATTAAGGAATTTCCCATTTGATTTGAGAAGCATTCCAGTTCCATTGGACTTGTTCATGAAATGGGATTAATGAGGAAATGGAATTTCATGGAAGTTCAAGAGCAGGAATGGTGGCATTGCCGGGCCTCAGAGAGATTTCACTTGGGAGATTGTCCATTCTTGACCTGAAGAAGTTTGGAACCCTTGGACATTAACTAGAGTTCTTTGTTACTAGTGGAACTCAGCTAGTCACTGAGTATTGGCTTTTGTCCATCTTTTTCCTGCCCTTCCCTGTACCTGTTGGCTTCCTTATTCTCTGCTCTTCTGTTTGATAACCAAATTTTTTTTTGCCTCTCAGTTTTGGCTTCTTTGTAACTTCAGCTTACTCTACCTCTTCAGGTACTTTAATGAATCAAATTAAAAATCTAAATAAGAGTCCCGGGAAAATCTGCTAAACTGAAAGGTGATTCATTTTATGAATGTATTCACTTTACATCGTAATTGGATGCCCAAGCAAATACATGTTTTCTAATTCGTTTCATTAAGAAGGTAGGAGCCAAGGGGAAAGTTCCACTTTGCCCTCTGAAGCTTTGCTGAAAAATCAACTCCCAAAAGGCAGAGTAATTAGAGAAAAGGCATACAAATTTATTTAACCTGTGATCGGAGACTTCAGAATGAAGACCCAAAGATACAGGGGAAATTGTCCATTTAATACTTAGGTTCAATAAAGTACAGAGAGCCATGTAGAAATATGATTGGACAAAAATAATATGACCTAATGGCAAGAGACTGAGTGGGGAAAGCCAGCAAGGCCTGTGTCCCTAGATTATTCTTAACCTCTTGAGCATGCATTCCTTCCTTCTGGGCATGGGGCAGAATTCTTCTGGATTGGGGGTCTTATGACCTACAGTCAAGCAAGGGATGTCAGAGAATTTCTTTATGGCCAGTTTTTACATAGAAAGAAAGGTGAAGGGATAGGTAGAGTAATAATTTTAGGTTTTATGGCTGGCTTTGGGGAAAACAGGTTTTGGTTTCCTTGGGGAAGGAAGGATTCTTGCCTTGGGGAAGAGGGATTCTAGTTTCTTTGGCTATCCTTGGGGGAGAATGAGACTGAGACAGGAGGGCAGGAGAAGGTCAGAGAAAAACTTTTGCTTCTGAGGCTGCTTCTGAGGCTTTCATTTTGGGGTACTTTTTCTGAGACTCAACAGGAATAAGTTTAAATATTTTTATTTCAATTCTAAATGATAGAGTCTTTCCCTAAACTAAATGGTTTGTGACTATGAGTGAAATTAATTTCATAGGGCCATTTCACAGATTTTAAGAACTGTCATACTTTTCAAATCATATAATTATAAGGTGGCCAGACAATTTTGTTTATCTATTCATCACCTGATGACATTTGGATTGTTTCACTATTGGGTTTTAATTCACTATTTTGATTAATGTTGCTATGAACATTCATATATGAGTTTTTGTGTGAAAATGTGTTTTTATTTCTCTTAGGTGTATACCAGGAGTGAAATTGCTGGATTGTAGAGTAATTCTATGTTTAACCATTTGAGGAACTGCTAGACTGTTTTCAAAGCAGCCATATCATTTTATATTCTCACACGCAGTGTATGAGGGTTTTAGGTAAATTTTCAAGGTGAATTTACACTGTAGGGAACATTTTCTCAAGTGTAAATCCATTTGGAATTCTATAAGATTCAATACAATGTTTGGGTTTGTATTTGTAGAGTCATTGCTTAATTAAGAAACAAAACTGTGACCATTGATTGGAAATTACAATTCAGCAATTTGTTTCAATGGAGGATAACTTCCTAACAATTAAGCCATCAAGTGACATATGCTATGAGTCATGAGTTCTCCTTTACAAGGATTATTCAAGGCATTTGAGAGGAATAATTTGGCAGAGGTTCTTCTGTTGCGCTGTTTCCCAAACTTTTGGGTACATCAGAATCACCTGCTATTCTAGGGACTATACTTTGAGAATCAATGCTCTTTTGAGTAAGAGGTTGGACTTCCCAACCTCTAAGGCAGTGATTCTCTACCTTGACTGTATAAGGAGCTCACTGGAGAGCTTTAAAGGTTCCTAGTGACCAAGCTGTACCCCAAACCAGTTAAATTAGAATATCTGGATAGGGGGCCCAGTAGCATTTTAAAAGGCACTATGGGCTGTTTTGTTGGTTGCCAAAGTGTTGTCTCTCCAACTCTATTCCTATGGTTCTAAATAACAAAAAATTAGTCTTACAACTTATTGTCAATGAAGATACATTTTTTGTTGTAAAATCTATCACTATCCCATGAAAAACAAAGACTTCCAGACTATCACAGACCCTAGGAGACCAAAGAGACATGATGGATATGTAGATATGATATCCTGGATTGGATTCTGAAGCAGAAAAAAGTCACCAATGTAAAAACCAGTGAGACATGAATCTGTAGTTTAGTTCATAGTATGGTACAAATATTAATTCTGTAGGTTTGACAGCTCTGTTATAATTACATATTAACCTTAAGGGAATCTGGGTGAAGGTGTACAGGGACTTTCTGTGTCATCTTTGGAATTTTTCTGTACATTTAAAATTACTCCAAAATAATGGTTTATTTTTTAAAATTATCATCCTCAAAGTCTACATGAGGAGCAAAATCCATCAAAGAATTTGTTGTCCCACATTCCAAACCTAGCATTTGGTTTTTGTTCACAGTTATAAAAATTAAATCTTCCATGAAGGCATTGTCATTAATCACATTATAAACACAACTGGGAAAAGATACCAGTATTAGTCAGCATGGGCTGCCATAACAAAATACCACAGACTGGGTGGCTTAGACAATGGACATTTATTTTCTCACAGCTCTGGAGGCTGGAAGGCCAAGAGCAAGGTCCTATCAGGGTTGGTTTTGGTGAGGCCTCTCTTACTGGCTTGCAGATGGCCACCTTCTCACTGTGTACTCACATGGCCTTTCCTCTGTACACAGAAGGTAAGATATCTCTGGTAGCTCTTCCTCTTCTTATGAGGATTCCAGTTCTGTGGCATTAAGGCCCCACCCCCATAACCTCAGATGACCTTTATTACCTCCTTATTAACCCTGTCTCCTAATATAGTCACATTGAAGGTTATGGCTTAAACATGTAAATTTTGGGGGAATACATCTCAGTCCATAACAGTACTGTTGGCAAATCACTTATCTCTCCTGTTTGTGGATTTTGCAAACTGGTGATTTTTGATATTCTATTGCTGAGGACAGTGCAAATGCATTTCAAACTCACTGATAATCTTTGTCCTTTGACGCTGTCTACTTCTTAAAGTTGGGTTTTGTATTGTATATTATATGATCTGAACATTTTCAAGTGATTCTTAGCTAGGTTTGTTATTCTTGGGATGACATATTCTAATAATCGTGTTAGAAAACCTAATAATATTAATTCCACCTTCTCATCACTTAATAAAATTTTAGCTCACCTGTATGTTTTGTGAAACATCTGCCTTAAAACCAGACGGTTTTCTGTATGCCAGAGATAATATGTGAACAAATGCTTTCCTCTTCTTTAAGAGCTTTATCAGCCTGTTTGAGAATGATAAGGCTTGATTAAGACCTAAACCCTCATTTAGGTTTTCATGTCTCTTCTATGTCAGAGTTTACTAACATGGAGGAGGAAAAGGAGCTTAAATTTTCTCTATTTTTGCATTAAGAATCTCCTCTCTTCCATAGGAGAAAGCAAATATGCCAACATTTTGTTAAGCATCATGATATTTTTAGATTAGCAGAAATCTAGGTCAGAGTTCTTCTGCCATCTTCAAAATATTGCCTTCCATTAAAACCAAAATGAAGACTGGAATTTCTCAAAGCAACCTCTGGATCATTTTCATTCAATTGATAAATTCTTAGATATATTGTACATGGGAAGCTTTCTATAATGGCATTGCTGGTGTGAAAATGTTACAGGAACCAATTTCAGATGATTTCTGTCCTTGATAAAAAGGGCAATGTTAGCTAATGTGGCACATACCTATAGATTATTCTTAAAGGTAAGGCAGAGGTTTCCGTAGAGGGAGTAAAATAGCACATGCATTCTATTTGTGTTATCTGTGTAGAAGCCAGGCAAACACAGGCCGGGCGCGGTGGCTCACGCCTGTAATCCCAGCACTTTGGGAGGCCGAGGCGGGTGGATCATGAGGTCAGGAGATCGAGACCATCCTGGCTAACAAGGTGAAACCCCGTCTCTACTAAAAATACAAAAAATTAGCCGGGCGCGGTGGCGGGCGCCTGTAGTCCCAGCTACTCGGGAGGCTGAGGCAGGAGAATGGCGTGAACCCGGGAAGCGGAGCTTGCAGTGAGCCGAGATTGCGCCACTGCAGTCCGCAGTCCGGCCTGGGCGACAGAGCGAGACTCCGCCTCAAAAAAAAAAAAAAAAAAAAAAAAGAAGCCAGGCAAACACAAAGAGAGTCACATTGTAAAATAATGTTAATTGAGAAGAACTTTAATAACACAAAAAACTTCTAGTGACCTTGATTTGAAGTGCAAAATACTTGTGTTTGCTTTCTGAGGCTAGATGCCCAAGTCAATGGGTTCACCAATGCTCTACACAACCAGTCCACAAGAATTGCTTCCCATTCTTATGAAGCCAGGAACAATCTCAGGTACCGCAGTCAACTGCAGAATAAATGACAGGACTATTCTCCCTTTGTTTATAAAAATACCCCACATCCAACTTGACCCTTTCTTTGAAATGCAGAAATTTCTAATTTTATGTGGGGTTACCTGCATAAACAGCTTTACACAAAAGTATTGAGTTAGTGAATGTGTCATTGTGTGACATCTGGATAGGAAATTATCAAACGTGATTTTCCCTTAAAAAGTCTACAATTTAAAAAAGCATGATGGTGACATTAGTGTGACATTCTTTAGGTAGATCTAAAGGCTTCATTAAATCAGATATTGTCATGATAGCTAATTAAGGTCTACTTTTGGTTTGAGGTTTATGAAGAAAGTTATGGTTTGGAAATATGAATGAGACATCAGAGAAAGAGACACTAGAACATATTATACAAATATTCAAAAATAATCCTCATATTCTACAAAAGAATTACTGAGTGATCAAGTTTTGTAACAATGCTTAGGAAGTAAACCAAGACAGTGGAAGTTAAAAACAAAATGGAAGACAAAAAAATTTTTGCAGTGCTGTGTTAATACCACTCTAACATTCATGTTTCAAAGTTATAGTTCAGAAGGAACATATATTCATTACATTTTGCATTGAATTAGAAAATAGCCTTGTTTTTATTATCCTTGCAAATAAACTTTAATCATGAAGTAAAATGATTTGTTTTGCAGCTCTAACACTGGAGCCAAGCAGGCAGGACCACAGGATACTGTTGTGTACACAAGGACATATGTGGAGAATAGGTATTCAAAATTTATTTCAAATATATTGCTTCATTTTATAATTTTGAAAGGATCTATGTTTAATAAGAGATGCTATTGTTTTAGAGTGTGCTTCTTTCAAATAGAAGACCGTTTATAAGTACATTGAGTTCTATATATATATAATTCTCTATAATGTTTCTGATATTATGTACTTGGGCTATAAATAATTATAGTCATTAGATGAACTCAGTAATATTTTAGTATAACACATGTATACATAATAGGGTTGCCATTTGAAAGTTCTCACATAAATGTATATAACTATATGGTTAAAATAAGCTTTATAAAATGCACAACTATTCCTATACTAATTTGGAGTTCCACTTGAATTAAATAATTCTATCTACTTTTGTTTACTGCCAATCTAAAATAAGGGGTATAAATTTGAGTAGTGCTATCTTGGCCCAAGTTATGGGATATTGATGTTTCAATTGAAATCTGCTGCTTGGAGTGATGGATATTGAGGAAAATGTAAACCAAGGTCAGGGCTCAATAATTCATTTGGTTTTCAAGGAATATAAAACAAGAATTGTCCCAATTGTGAAGTACAATAATGGTGGGGCACACAAATGCTGGTATACATGACCCATATGTTAAGCTAAGCCCATTTCAAAGAGGTCTAAGAGAAGAGTATTCAGGGAAGCTTCTGTGTGGATGGCAGTCGTGATGGGGATCCAGGAAATTCAATACATGTCAGGAGGTAAGCGATCTTCCAAAAAAGGTTTCTCAAACCCATGCATAATTTACCTTGTAAAATGCAACATCAATATTGATTTTTTCCTTAATCCAATTCTCACTCTCTGGCGTGTTCAAGTCAGTGATTTCTGCTGTCTTTCAATTAAACTAAAAGTTAAAACACTTCAGAGTAAATTTTAAAACACTAAGGAGTTACTAAATCTGAAATAAATTGATAAAAAGATGAGTAATATCAAATAGTATCATAGTGAAGGCAAGGCGTGAAATATTGGCGAACAATAACATAGGCTTTTTTTCTATATTTACATAATAATCTCTCACATTTTTATCCTTATGGGATGTCACATCAATACATTTTGATTTTTAAAGAAATTTCTTATGGGAACTAATGCCAAACAACCACAATATTGATTTTTGAATAATGAATGATTTATTTAAGAATAGGAATATTCTGCTAAACATCGTACTCGAGATTTTTTAATTAATAGGATAGATGGATAAAATAATATTAACTTGATTCATGGAAGTACCAAGACTAAAGCATACTTATTTTATTATGATGACTATGGTTTATTTTTTTAAAAGTATATACTGAATACCCTGTACATATGTGTATCATGTTCACATATAGAACAGTAATTCTCAAAGCATAGTCTCTGGGCCAGCATCATCAGCATGACCTGGGAACTTTCTAGAAATAAAAATTCTTTGGCCTCACTCCTGCCTGCTAGATCAGAAACTCTGCAGCTCAGGCCCAGCAACCTGTGTTTTAACAAACTCTTCAGATGTTCCTGATGTGCATCAGAGTTTGAGCACCATCATTATAAAAAGATAATATTAATATTGTGGCATATCAGGCTAATAGTCTGTTGACCGGAAGCCTCTGAAAGGATTCGTTGCCTCCTGTACCTTAACCTAGCAAGGATGGTGATGTACCTCAGACATCCTTAAGTTTCCTAAAATCTACATTGACAGGCAGCGTGGTACAGTATGGAGTCCCAAGAGTCATATTTGAGGTTGAATCCTTCTTTGTCGTTTCCTAACCGTGTAGCCCTAGTGATGTTACTCTTCCAGTCTCAAGTTTCCTCATCAATAAAATGGGAATCATGACATGCATCCTCCATAAATATGTGCAAATTTTTTTGTAGCATTGTGGGATTATGTGTTTCATAAAGTAGATTTTAGTTCTGACAGCAGTCTGCCTCCAGGAAATTTGGAGAGAAAGATAGGTTTCTCATTTAAAAATCCCAAGTGAGAGCCATGTGGTTATCAATCATTGTATGAAATAAAGAAACATATTGCTCCTATTCTTAATATATGCCCAGATAGCATAAGTACTTGGAAAGCAATTATGGGAGCCAGCTGGTTAGGACATTACAGATTTTATTTGTCTCCAGGAAATAGTGGTGTTTAAAAGCTGGGATAATCTACATAATAGAAAACAGAAGACTTTTAAAAATCATACTTCTTTGCTTTCATTCTAAATTATTCTTTCTTGGATATATTCAAGTAAAAATAAAAATTTTGCATGCTTTTTCTAAAAGTTCAAGAATCTCAGTTTCTCTCTGTGAATGGTGTATGTGTCTGTGTGCTTGCCCTGTTTGTGCTTTGTGTATTTTCTTTATCTACTTTACATTCTGTGTAGCTTTCTTTAGTAAACAGATGAGGTGCAAGTATAAATTTCATGAAAGATGAGGACTTCTTTTCCTGCTCACACTTGTTCCTGTATTCCTTACCCTACTCTCTATTTATTTTGGTATATATGTCAAATTGGGGGTGACTTGTGTATCAATATTTCTACAGATTAAAAAAATGTGTCAGTACATCATCCTGGCTTGTAACATACACAAAGATAAAATATTATGAGGCTTCATGAGGTGGTGTGAGTGTGTTTTCTTATCTACATAAGGAAAATCACCTGATTCTCACATGTCCATATATTTTGTTCCTAGTAAATCACCCAAGGATGGATATCAGGAGAATATCTCTGGAAAATACATACAAACTGTTTATTCAACTTCTGATAGGTGAGTATGTCTTTATTTCCATACATAAAAAGTACACACATACAGACACACACACACATATATATATATATATACACACACACAGGCACACACACATATATATAAATATATATACATATATATAAATATATATACATATATAAACATATATACATATATAAACATATATACATATATAAACATATATACATATATAAATATATATACATATATAAATAAATATATATATATATATATTTCTTGCTGTTCTTTGTACTTGGAGATGGTTCTGCTGATGTTTCTTGTCATGTATGTGCATGGGCAGACCAAAGTGCAACTCAGTAACAACTTCTGCATCCAGGAATTTGTTTCTTGGATTCCTGGCTGTTGCTGCTGTCTGATTTTGATGCATATTATCAAAAGACCTTTCTGTGCCTTACAGCTGCCTCCCAGGCCAGCCCCTCTGCTGCTGGTGATCCCCAGGAGGCCCCAGGACTGCCACATTATTAGCGTTTAGGCTTCATTGCATCCATAGACTGTGCCATCAATCCCCCCTTCTTGTGCTTTTCTGCAGCCTTCTTGGCTTACAAACAGCCATGCAGATGTGCTGCTGTGACCCACTCTGGGCCCAAGCTCAGTTCCCAGGAGTGGAGTCATGATGAGTATTGATTGAGTGCTGGTGAGCTGGCCCTGTTCCAGGTTTTTGCTGTTAGTGATCCTCTTTTACCATTCAATGTTCAGTGGAGCACCTAGGTGACACTTATGAGAGTATGGCATGCAGATTTCCAGTGAAGTAAATGAAAATAAATAATTAGTATTTCAACCCAAGCCCTGGAAACAAGCCATCATGCAAATGTCTGATGTTCCACTGATGTTGTTTCTTTATAGCAGGGGCTGGAGATATGACTCACTCAAGGTAGAGATATTTTATTTTCATATGTAGTCTCAGCTTCTAACACAGTGCTTGGTACCTAATGTGTACTCAGTAAATTTTTTTTAAAAAAACATGAACCTATGTTCCATTTTCTAAGGGAAACATGGGTGAACCAGGTATCAAAATTATATCCCTTTCTTGTCACTTTTCCAATATTTTGCCCATTAGCAATGCTTTGCTGAGTGTCTTGCCTGTAAGTCACACCTCTTTGAGTAGTAAAGTCATTGACACCAGCATTAGAACTACAGATATCATCTGGATAGCCAATTAAAAAAAACAGATCTAGGTTTTCACAATGCTTCAAAAAGATCTTTGACTAACTGTATGATCTTAATAAAGATAGTACCAACATCAGTGCATTTCCTGAGCTTGTATTTCTATTATTAAGGGAGGAAAACATTCTCCATAAAAGTATTGCTGTTAATAGAAAGACTTTAAACCCTATTCCTAAAATGGCTTTGAAATTTTTCCTAGTCATCAGCGCAGAAGTCAGTTCTCCATGAGACCAGTCAGTTATACAACCTTTTGCTGTTGATAGTGTGTGAAATTGGCGATGTTCTTACAGTTCTTATTTAAGCACGTCAATCCTGTTTAAAGTGGTTTCCCATGTAACCAGATAAAGTCCAACATCTTTTGCACATTCTCCATGGCCCTTCAGAACCTGCTCCAGCAGAATATTCACTGATGCTGAATCCCTCCAAACACCCTCCCAGAGTAGCAAGTTTGTATGTTCTGTTCACTCTGCTTGGAATTCCTCCACCAACCCCTCATCCCCACCCCACCAAGCCCACCTTGAGAGCTCTTTCCTCTTCAAACAATGCAGATGGCACTTTTTTCTGACAAGGCTTTCCTGACTTCACCCCAGGGGTTAGTGGTTCTCTTGGCTCTGTTCTCCTCAGTCTGTCCACGTACCTGTATTCCACTCTGCATTTCAACCCAAGCCCTGGAAACAATCATGCATGTTATATCATGCATCTAGTTTCCCCAGTGGAAAGAGCATCTTGTCAGAGGAGACTGGCTCACCACTCTTTGTATTTGCAGCTCCTAGATCAGTGCCTGTGGAATGGATGAAGGACATAGAGCACCTATTTTCTACTCTTGAAGTGCTTACAGTCTTAAATGGGAAATTTAAGTGTATGCATACATATGTGTGTGTGTTTATGGATAATCCATAGGAAAATATTTGCTAGGTAGCTATAAGCAAGTGGGTACAGAACAAATAAAAGCAGAAAATATTTATTTATATACATGAGACTTAGAAAGACATTACTAGAATGATTAAAAGTATAAAGCTAGATAAAGTTTATCTACTATAATGCCTTTCTTCTCCTACTTACTTTTCCTTTCCATTCTCTCTCCTCTCTGCTCCTACTTCTGGGCTTGATAATAGATTAGTGGTTCCTGGGTACGACTAACTCATTTCAACACAATGAGCGCATCAGATCTTTGGACTCATTGTGTTGGTACCACGCTGCCTCCATTCACATCTTCACTCTTCCACTCACTGGTTTCATGATAGTAGCAGGTTTCTTATCCTTCTGTACCTGTTTCTTTTTTAATAAAATGATGATAAAAATAATAATAGTGGCTTGTCAGGAATGTTGTGAAGAATAAGTGAGTATATAAGTGCAGAGAAAAGTGCACTTCATATATCATATAAAGGGCTATATAAATATAGCTTAATTTCACTACCCCATTACATATCCTACTCTGGAAATGTCAGGCCTGCATGCTAATATCCTGAAACTAGTATACTCTGCAGGGTGCTATTTAAGAGTGTCCTAAGACCTTAAAAAAGGAAAAGGATCCTTTCTTAAGGTTCTGGTGTGACTCAAGATATTTTGGATTCTGCTGATCACATCTACAGATCATTTATCATTGAACATTATTTTAACAAATATTTAGTATTTGTTATTTAATAAATAACAAAACTCTCTTTTCTTCCCCATCAAATTTGTGGTGGGGTTATGTCTTGCTGGAGGGTATAAATTTTGTCACGATAGGTATCCTTATATCCTGAGTCTTACAGTGGCACCAAGAGGAGTGTTTTGGTGACTCTGGCCCCTACAGTCCCAGGCACTACAGACTCATCATTTTGTGAGTTTATCTATGTGCTCTTGAATGGATTTCTATTTTGGGCCTGTTGAATATTCTGAGAGTTAAAAATGTATATTAATCTGCAGCATAATTTTTCCGTGTAATCTGTAACATGATATATGTAAATTCATAATTAAAAGCCCTCTAGTACTTCTGAGGAGTACTTGAGATATTTCCTAATTCAATTAGGAAACTGAACATCTTTGTCCCACCCAGATTTACTCTTGATTTCTGATGAATTAATAATTTGGGACTTTCTCTCATGTTAATTATTTGATATCATTTTGAGAAAACTAGAAGTCAATTATATTACTAGAATAAATAAACTCCAAACTTTCCTTGTTTTTTTGTGAAATTTTCTAAAGTAAAGTATCATCAAAATTAATATACCGTTGCCATGTGAGTTTATAGGGAATACATCTGTCTTCTGTATTATGGCAAATTTATTTTTAATTGCTTACATTTCTATAGGTCTGTCATTGAAAGAGATATGTGCACTTACTGCCGAAAACCCTTGGGTGTAGAAACTAAAATGATTTTAGATGAATTACAAATTTGCTGCCATTCTACTTGCTTTAAGGTAAGGATGTGTTTATTTCACTTAATTAAATAAAAAATTGCATAATAACTGGAATAAAATAATAATTTAATGTAATACATGAGATGAAGCAAAAACTTTCAGAAGCACTGTCAGCCACATTAATAGTACACTACTTAAATATTTCTGAGTTCTGCAGCCTAAACCTCAAATGTTTGTAATTACTATCTTGGCTTTAGGCTTACAGTTGATTACTGACACATTTATTCACTCTTACCCTAGAGATTTAAATCTGTGGGAAAAAAAACCCACTTGTTCTTTTTATAAAAGTTTTTGCAACAGTTTACTAAATTATGCATTACAGAAAATATGTGATGAAATCAAAACAAGAAAATAAATTGTTGAGAAGAAAGCTAGCAGTTTCTTACCTCATGAAATTAGGACCAATGGGTTTAACAATAGGTGAACGTCAGTCTGCTTTTGAGAGCATAATTAGTGGTAATTAATTGTGGCTCAATAAATACTAATAAAGCTTTTATTAGTAGACTAAAGCTTCATAGTTTGTGCTTTCATAGGACGTTTCTTTGCATTCTAACCATAACATTGGGTGGATCAACATCATCGTTTTTGGTGTAACTGCATAAGCAGTAAATGGGAATCTAAAGACCTGAGTTCTAGTTTTGCCTCTGCCTGTAACTATGTCCGTGTGACTTTGGACAACCACCTGAATTACCTTGGCCTCAGTTTCCCTAACTGTAAAATGAGGTGTTGACTAGACCAGTGGATCTCAACCCTGGCTGCATATTATAATCATCTGGGGAGATGAGGAAAAATAGAATGATCGGGACCAGCCCCAGTTAAATCATGAATCTTAGAGGTGATTATTGGGCATTGGTATTTTTAAAAAGCTCCTTGATTAATCTAATGTACAGTCAGTTGGAGAAACTATGGGCCAAATATATGGTTTCTTTCTAGTGCAACATTCTACGGTTGATACAAATGATCAAATCCAGTCAAAGAATGCAATACTTTGTCAATTGATTGCTTCTATTCCTATTACTTTCAAAAAGTGACACATAGCAATCAGAAATATAGTAACTCATTTTGAGCAAAACATTCCAATTTTAGGGCATAATGTACAGAATGCTATATAAAAATATAATCTCCAGGTTGTATAATTAGTTATGAGAACAAAGTTTTTTATTTATGAAATATATTCAATTAAACAAAACTTAGTCTATAGTTTTTTATTGAAAATTACTATGCAGAAAAATTTAAACAAGAATATTCTCCTGATCATTGCTTTTGGTAAATAGAAATATTTTCATTTATTACATTTTAGATCACTTATTTCTATTTTCAATGTAATTTCAATAAAATATTACCGAGAATAAAAACAAACATGTTCACACTCTTAGAAAAATACTGATTGTTCTATAGCCATAGCAATACAGAGCCACATGAACTGGTTTAGACACAACCAATTAATCAATGACAGTTTACTTCAGTAAATTTGCTTCTGAAAGCCAACCAATCAGTGACAGCCTCATGCTTTAAGGTCAGCCAATCAGCAGTGGACAGGTCTGAAGCAGCGGTCAGCCCTTTCCTACTTCTAACCAGCACAACTCAAAATAAACTTTTTCTCAAACCCAGTCAGATAAGCAGTTTATTTCTCTCCATGAGGTTGTGCCTGGACAGCATAACTAGCTCTCCCTTAAGTTAGCAAACAATAAATGCACCTTTGTGTTTTTTTGTTTGTTTGTTTGAGATATTGAGTGGTCATCTTGTCCTTGGCATAAACAATTTCTGGACATTCATATCTACTCCACTGTGAGTGAAGTAGAAAACTTCAGTGATAAACATCCCTTAAAAGTGCCTCGATGGTAGAGAGATGATGTCTGTTCCTCTAATAATCTAGATTTCATTTACAATGGAAACTTTATATATGTATTTTTTTCTTTAGTGTGAAATATGCAAGCAGCCTTTGGAAAATCTACAAGCGGGTGATAGTATTTGGATTTATAGACAGACAATACACTGTGAACCTTGCTACTCTAAAATTATGGGTAAGTGTTACACTCTAAGCATTTAACACTTTGGTTAACCTTAATGAGCATTTGGTATCATTTAAAATGATGTATTTTAATAAAGTAAAACATTTTACTAGTTATATTTAGTTAATAATTCAGCTGCAGATATTTATACTATGGTAGTATTTTGTTTAATGGTGTAAAATCAATCAACTTTTGTATTGTCTTCTGGTATCAGATTAGATATAGATACAACTAAACCAAAGGGTCATTTATTTTAGAAAATTTTCCGTTTTTTTCCAAACAAGAAAGTTATTGTCTACTCACATAATTGTTTAAATTGAAGTCCATATTCGTAAATGACATTTTATGCTTGCACTTGAATATTGTATAATTTTTAACTAAATTTGGTTATTGCATTAAATGCTTTTGAATATTACTTTTAAATTGAAAATTTAGTTAATTCTATGTAGTTTTACAAAAATATAGCATTTAAGTTTTCTATCCATCTAACATCAATGTTACCATAATTTGCACTCTTAATTAGCATATGTAATGTGAGAAAAGGATATTGAGGACCTGTGTTTTTAACTAACATTTTTTATAAACTACATATGAAAGTTTTAAAAGCTAATTTAAGAGATGTGCACATTGTATGGTAAATTAACAAGATTAAGTCCTGTGAAACTTGACTGGTTTTTAAAAGCTACTATCCGCATTTTCCTTTTAGATTCAATAGTAAGTAGATAAAATAACCAAAATAATATTGAGAAGACGGTCAACGGTACTATGTGAAAGGCACTTTTTCCTGCTGTCTTGTTGGTATAATGAATGAAAGAGGAACACTTGGGACCCCTACCTGGGATCCAAAGTATGGAATTTAATGACAAATGTGTGATATTAATGAGCTACTGGGAGACTACATCCAGAAAATGCTCTGAAAAAAATATCAGAAACCCACGTTCCATCAGGCTGCAGAATCAATTACAAGAACATACCTAATTATATTCATACTTTGCCTTCTATATTCTGCTTCCCCCAGAGAGTTCTCATATTCACTTTTCTTCCTGAGTTAGTAATCTTATGATGATCTAATGTTATATAATGGGTCTTGATGTGCATGGTGGTAGCTCTAAAATTTTTATTCTCCCAGAGTTCATGATGTGGCTTAGTGGGTGTGATTACCAAAAGACTCAGAAGTTTTTATGTCTTCCTCCCTATATGTACTCCCTAGGCATTGCATGTTTTATAATACATATAAGTTGTCAAGAGATGACTCTCAGACATCTCATAAATATGCATACCAGGCATCTGGTACGTCATGTACACAGTATGACCAAAAGCCACAGCGATTATTTCAGAAGTGGAAGGAAAAGTGGAATCCTTAATCTACCACTACCCGTTGGGTGAATAATAGTCTGTAAATTTTAATGATGAGCTTGTTTCTGTACTGAATTTGCACGTCTTTTTTCTTTTAATTTGCAGCAAAGTGGATTCCATAACTCTGGCACAAGGAAATCAAGATGAAAAGCACTCATTAAGGAATTAAAGTTACAAGTTTTATCTTAATAATATGTAATCTAGAAAAGCTTTCACATTGAAGATCAACTCTTGTACAAAATTAACAATTCTGTTATTGCATAAGTAATCTAATTGTCTTCAATAAGGTCACACACATAAAAAGAGCCATCTGGTCTCTGGCTAGAGTTAGCAATAAAAAGTTCAAATGGTTCCAGATTCCAGTGTCAAAGGAGTGATGCATTACACTCCAGCCAGGTCCATCCCTGCTCCGTATGTTGGCTGTGAGTGGTGGTTTCCATTTAAACCAAGTTTCTCATTTCTTCACCTTTTTTTCTCTAAGAATTTGGATTCGTAGACATTGACATCCCGAAGAACTGTCAAGGAAGCAAGATATGCTTTCTTCATCTGCAAAAGAAATACTAACAACAATTTTCTTATACAGTTTGGCAGAAAGATGTTAACATAAAAAGTTTATATACCTCAAAAATCACTAAACTTTCCAGATCTCTGTCCTATTATTTGTAACACAAGGGGCATTGGATAAAATGATTTCTAGGGTTCCTTTTGCTTCCCAAATTCTCTGATTCTAAAGCAGTTTTTAGAATCATTAGCTCTTTGGAAACATATATGCATACATGTTTGTTAAGCCTATTGAACTAGGTAGGACATATAAACAATTTAATTTTAGTGTCATTGTTTAATCACAGACTTAGTGTTTGAAAACTGTGTTTTAAAAACAGAAACAGATTGATGGGTAACAGGTAAAATATGACATGTATAGCTTACATGTTATTATTTGTTAAATTTTCTTTGTATACATTTCAAAATCTGGGTATACTTATAATCCATTAGAAGTAATGGTTATGGACTAAAAAGATATGTTCTTTAGTATGTTATATATACTCATATTACATAGCAGTATGTTTACAAAAGGCTTATAAAAATAAAATGAACTATCAGTTACATAGAATCTTTATGTGAAGTGTTTGTAAATATAATTCACTAACATCAATTTTGTCAATTATAGTGATCACAATCTATTATATTCTCTGCAGCACTAATTTATTTTTAACTGCTCAAGCTATAGATTTTATTTTTAAGAAACTTTTCTGAAGAAATTGAACATGTAATAATCATGTGAGGAACTAGTATAATTAACATTGGGAAATTGAACTTCTAAACCATTTAATTGCATATAGCAACTGTTTCTAGAAAAAAGATGTATGGAACATGGAAGTGGGGGCAGAATTCTAGAGAAGTTTTAAGGCAGTTGTGGAAAACTGCTATAAACTAGGGAGATTAAAAGATTATCATGTATTTTCCAAATGTTAATACATTCAAAGAATTATTCTTCTGTGTAATAATTTCATGCCTCTGTTCCTCTTAAAGCCTGGTTCACAAAGTGTTAAACATAAAATGCTTATCAAAATACAGCAATGTATAATTGTTGTCCAATGAAAAGGGAGCCAGGAAAAACAATTAATAATAATTTTATATTCATTAATTCATGCTTGATGAGAAGCAGTGGTAATTGAGCCACATGTTTTATTGTTCTTTTATTATACGCTATCAGAGTGATCAAAAGAAATAATTTTCTCAGAGTTGAAATTCACTGCAGAAAAGGATGGATGAAATAGTATCCCTCTCTTTCATATAAAGTATATTAACATCTGAATGCTTTTGTAGTAATTAAAATCATCTGAATATCATTTAAAAAGTATAAAAACCTAAAAGGAACACATTTCTCATTTTTCTATAGCTGTTTAATTGGCCCTCTCTCCTACAATAATGTATTAAATCAAACCAAAAGCTGTTGTAAAAATGGAATAGACATGAAATGGAGAGAGAAGTGTTTCTGATTCATCAAGATCACTTCATTATGTCTGGGTTTATTTTCACTATAGAAGTGACAGATTCCCAAAACAACTTACAAGATCTCACATTTTTTGCAGGCTATTAATTATGTTATGACTGACACTGTTCCTGGACACAATTGCCTAAATCTAGGGATACTAGATCCTGAATTCTATCACCAATAAAAAGATGTCTCTAAAAGAGAATGAATAGCTTCATCATGACAATATCCTTCTAAATAAAAGTCAAAGACATATAATAATCTCAGAAATAGTATAGTATAAAATGATATTCTCTCCTTTAATAAGGCCAAGAAATAAGAATTTATTCAAGAAGTAATATGTATATCTTAATGGTTTGATTGCAGTCACTCTACTTATTAGATATGAGTGATGAGATGGTCCAGCTATCACTACTGTGCATTCCCTGACTTGTTTACTATGATAGAAAATTGTGAGTGTTTGGAACATTCAGCTTGATAAAGAACTCTACCAAAACAAGTAACTGTTGGGTCTACATCATGGCAAACTAAAAAGGATGTTGGTTTTTTTTTTTTTTTGGTACTACTGAATTTGCTGGTTATTTTGATACAACGTAAATAAATTGCTGTTAAAGTTCCCCCTATTCCCTAGTGCTCAACAGTTCCCAGAGCCACCTATAAATATGTGTATAACATGGGCAAGCCATATTCCCTTTTGGCCCCATTCCCTACTGTTTAAACTATGGGGTTTAGAATATCGACTCTTGAATGTTTCCACCAACTCAAATATCACATGACTATGAATCTATTCCTGCTACTTATCCGGTTCTTAGATGATATCTTTTATTAGATGCATAAGAGTTGTTGAATATTTTGTATGTACTTTAGAATTGCATGTTGACTTTATCACAACACAAGTTGAGGCACCATTTTGACCCTTATTTACTGGATCTTTGTCCTGCTTAGAAAGTATGCCTTCTGGCCGGGCACGGTGGCTCGCACCTGTAATCCTAGCACTTTGGGACGCCAAGGTGGGCGGATCACCTGAGGTCAGGAGTTCGAGACCAGCCTTACCAACATGGAGAAACCCTATCTCTACGAAAAAAATACAAAATTAGCCAGGCATGGTGGCATATGCCTGTAATCCCAGCTACTTGGGAGGCCGAGGCAGGAGAATTGCTTGAACCCGGGAGGCAGAGGTTGTGGTGAGCTGATATCGTGCCATTGCACTCCAGCCTGGGCAAAAAGAGCAAAACTCCATCTAAAAAAGAAAAACGCCTTCTGAGAGATATTACTGAAATACTCAAATGTATGAGGTAGGCAGTGATTTCAATGTTTTCACTGTATGAGAGGAAAGTGAACATCATCATTGCCTTATAAATGCCTTCTGGAAAGGATCTTTTATTCTCTTTGATACATTCTTCTCATTAATACATTTAAATGCCCAATTATTCTAGGTTCCTTAGAAAAAATGCATGGTTTATAATCTATCATCGTTCATTCATTTATTCATTTGTTCTGTTATTCAATAACTTAAAAAAAGACCTACGTTCTAGGTCCCAGGTATAACCCAAACAGTCAAGGTTCCTGACCTCATGAAACTTACATTCTAAAGCCAGCAGGAGGTGGAGGAGGAGTTTGAAAGTCAGAAAACAAATTAATACAATAATTCTGAAATTGATAAGACTTATGAATGAGTGAAATACAGTGACTAGGTGAAGGGGTAGTTTTAGAAATAAAGTGGTCAGGTGAGGAGGTAATATTTCAAATCAGATCTGGATGATGGGAAGGAGTCAGCCTGGGAAAAAGCCATCCAGGAGAAGATGTCTTAGAATTGGCCCAAATCAGGCCATTTGTCTGGGCTAAACTGAACCTTGCTTCTTTTAAATGTAATGAGATGGAAGTTCAAAGGTGCCAGGAGACAGAGACCAGTCAAAAGATTTGTAAGTTTCCTCTATTTGTAAGACTTGTAAGTTTCCTCTATTATATGGTTACACGGGGAGCCATGTAAGACAAAAATCAGATATTACTCAGACTGCTTTCAATTCTCTGCCATGGTGGGTTACCCAAATGGCTGCTGAGTCCTGGACTTCAGGCTGAAGTTGCTTACGTGGGCCCAGGAAGGCTCTGGTGACTATTTCAAAGGTGGGATGAGTAAGGTCTGAACCAACCTGCATCTTGAGGGGAAGTAATGGATCCTGTATGACATTTCCACTCCTCATCTGAGGCCCTAAGGATCATATCCCTTTCTGTTTTCCAAATAGAAACATTAAACAGTAAGGCAGCATCATTTCACATTTAGGAGAGACTTCTCATAGGAATTTTATAAACGTGTTATTTTCCTTTGTTAAAATATGAATAATGCATCTGGAAGAAAGAAACTTTTTTCTTGGTATAACTTTCTTAATAGCTGAAATGAAGTAATTTTACCTATTTTCCTAAGACAAAAGGAAAGATTGTGAGCTTTAGGGGTCCTTCAGCTCATAAAGGCAAACCGAATTGAAAGTCTCCCACAAGAAAGTGTTTAGGCCCTAAGTCCAGTGAACTTCAGCGTGACTTAGGAAATACTAAAGACATAGAAAGACTGCCAGGAGGCTGGAATTAGGAGGCTGGAATGAGCATGAAGAGATGAGGCTGAAGAAACAGGCAAGAGGCTGGTCATCATAAATTCATAATGCATCCTTAAAGATATACATCATTAAGTGAATGTTGAAATTTGGTAGAATTCATTTATGCCTTTTAGATTTGTATCATTAAAATATTGAGTATGATTGATTTCACAAACAGGTTAAAATTATATTAAGACAAATATAGTCAACTGATTTTTGACAAAGGCACAAAGGCAATTCAATGGAGAAAGAAAGAGTCTTTAAAAATGGCATTGGTGCTGGAAAAATTGGATACTCAAATGCAAAAACAACGTAAACAAACAAAACCTACACACAGACCTTACACCTTTCACAAAGATTGACTCAAAATGGATCACAGACTTAAATGTAAAATGCAAAATTATAAAACTTCTAGAATAACACAGGAGAAAAGCAACATGAGTTTTTAGATACATCACCAAAAGCATGCTCTATAAAAAATGGTTGTATATAAGTTGAAATTTGTTAAAACTAAAAACTTCTGCTCTGTGAAAGACATTGTTAAGAGAATAAAATATAAGCCACCAACTGGAAGAAAATATTTGCAAACAGATACCTGATTAGAAACTTGTCCCTAGTATATAAAAATAATTCTTAAAACTCAACATAAGAAAACAAAAAACTTAGTTTAAAAAAAATGGGCAGAAGAC
Organism: Homo sapiens; assembly: GCF_000001405.40. NCBI lineage: Eukaryota > Metazoa > Chordata > Mammalia > Primates > Hominidae > Homo > Homo sapiens. The sequence continues at coordinate 77,649,426 of NC_000013.11, forward strand.
CTGAACAGACACCTCACCAGAGAAGATATACAGATGTCAAATAAGCATATGAAAGATGCCCAGCAACATTTGTCACTAGGAAAATGCAAATTGAAACAACAAGGAGATACTACTATATGCTTATTAGAATAGCTAAAATCTAAAAACTGATAATATCAATTGTCAGCAAGTATTCAGAGCGATAGGGATTCTCATATTCATTGTTACAGGAATGCAAAATGGTATAGCCACTGCCATAGTTTGGATGGTTGTTCCATCCAAATCTTGTGTTAAAATTTGATCCCCATTGTTGGAGATGGGGTCTAATGGGAGGTGTTTGGGTAACTGGGGAAAGTCCTTTATGAGTGGCTTGGTGTCATCCTTACAGTAATAAGTGTGTCTCACTCTATTAGTTCCCACAAGAGCTGCTTGTTAAAAAGAGCCTGTTGCCTCCTGCCTCTTTTTATTCCTTCCTCTCTTGCATTAGATCTTTCACACACTGGCTACTCTTCATCTATTACCATGAGTGAAAGCAGCCTGAGGCTTTCACCGGATGTCTGGTCTTCCAGCCAGCAGAATTGCAAGCCAAATAAACCTTTTTTCTTTATTAACTATCCAGCCTCAGATATTTCTTTCTTTTTTTCTTTTTTTTTTTTTTCTTGAGGCAGAGTCTCTCTCTGTCGCCCAGGCTGGAGTGCAGTGGCATGATCTTGGCTCACTGCAACCTCTGCCTCCTGGGTTCAAGTGATTCTCCTGCCTCAGCCTCCCAAGTAGCTGGGACTACAGGCGTGTGCCACCAGGCCCGGCTAATTTTTTGTATTTTTAGTAGAGACGCGGTTTCACCGTGTTAACCAGGATGGTCTTGATCTCCTGACCTCGTGATCCACCTGCCTCGGCCTCCCAAAGTGCTGGGATTACAGGCGTGAGCCACCGCACCCAGCCAGATATTTCTTTATGGCAACACAAATGGACTAAGATATCCACCTCAGAAAACAGTTTGGCAGTTTCTTAAAAAGCTAAACATAGTCTTAAAATATGATCCAGAAATTATCCTCCCAGGTATTTACCCAAATGATTTGATAACTTATATGCATACAAAAAGCTGTACATAGATATTTATAGCAAT